>NC_000008.11:16526769-16829799 GCF_000001405.40 Homo sapiens
ATGCCCAGAAATGAAGATTTATTACTACTCTTAGAACATGTACAATTGTAATTGTACATAATCTGCCTGCTTTGTGACTACTACTCTTCCTCCTTCATATAAATATATATGTATATATACACACACACCCCTTTTTTGAATTACGAAAATAACTCTCTCTAAAAGCAGAACTGCCAAGTGCTTAGAACACCCCATTGGAAAAATAACTCCATCTAGCTACATTGTTCTGCCAGAGTTAATTGGTAATGTATATATTTTAGCATTTGATCATCTCTTCATACTGGGAGATTCAGATTTTTGTAATGTAGTTTCTTTGTAGCCAGTGGCATGATTATAATATTCCAGACAACTATAAGCCCAGGAAAGTAGAATTTGGCATGCCAAGATGAAGAAAACTATGATATTCAGATTCAATCATTCACAAAAATAGGATTACACAGTTCTATAAGCTAAGCAATTGTATAGAAAAAAGATGTTCCAAATTCTATCTTAATGCAGTTTGGAGGACTCAGCTCATAGGTTATCCCATAATTTAATTACAGTAATTAATTAGAATATCTGTATTTTCCATTAAGGCTTAGATATCCATCTATTGGAGCTAGGAAGAAGGAGATGTTATTAATATTATGATGAATGGAAAGCTCTTTCACAAAAAGGCAATTGTAGGATCATGAAATCAAGGAAAAGGACTATAAATACATCTCCTGATTTTTCTTCTTTGGAATCAGGTTCACCGAGCAGGGGAGTGCATTCGACAAATGGAGGGCAACAAGAAACAAAGAAGTTACTGTGCAACGATTTAGCATGCCTACATCCAGTGTGCTCATGCGCAGTGAGGCAGGCACTGGAGTTTAGCAATCCTGGGCTGTGTTCAGTACACTGTGAATCAGGGAACTGTTTGAAGACCCAGTGGGCTTGCCACCGGCTCTGTCAGAGTAATGGGAGGTGGCTTCTTAGCTGATGCTGGAATCAGGTTCTCACAGATTGGAAGACACGCAGAGCCTCAGTGTCTGCCATCGGTGAGAGCTGAGCTGAGGCCCATTTAGCTAATATATACTGAAAGGTTAGCAATGGACCAAGAGAAACATGATCGCTAGTTACACACTTCAAGACCAGAAACACTCAGAAGGACAGAAATTTATTCAGGAGAAGCATAAAAACCCCTGTGTACCTTCCACACCAGCATGAGGCCAGGGTGCTGCTCCTTACCTCATTCCCCAAGCCAGAAGCCCGCAATTCTCCTTCAATCCTTATCCACTTGAACAGAAGGAGAGAAGCAGGGGAAGCAGAGGGATCTGAGAAACTGAGCATTTTTATCCGCATGAAAGATGAAGCACAATCTAAAAAAACTCTTGATTACCAGTTCAGACTAAACTTAATCTTGTTTGACATTCAGCTAATCACTTTCCTGCTAATCAGAATGTCAGAGCACAGGAGAAAGACTATAGGTGTTTTGCAATCTATTTTTTCTGGATATCTAACTTGTATTATGAGCTATTTGTGAATACTACTCTTCCTCCTTCATATATATATAATATATACATATATTTTTAATTAAGAAAAGAACTTAATTTTTTCTTTCCCGAATTTAATTTTTTAATTGACACATAATAATTGTACATATTCATAGGGTGCATAGTGATGTTTCAATCATATGGTGATCAAATTAGGGTAATTAGCATATTCAAAATTTTAAACATGTGTCATATCTTTGTGTTGGGAACATTCAATATCCTCCATCTAGCTATTTGAAATTATACAACATATTATTGAAGCAGCGTCACTGTCTGGGGTAAATACGGGAGGTTCATTGCCTCATGCCAAGGAAATCAAGGACTCAGACACATATGGATTGAGGTTAAGAGCAGAGGTTTAACAGGCAAAAGAAAAAGAAAAAAGAATAACTCTCTCTCCCTTGAGAGAGAGGAGTGACTGAATGGGAATTCCAGCCCACAAGGGAGTGCACTAGATTTTATAGACAGGCTTGAGGAAGTGGTGTCTGATTTACATAAGGCCCACAGATTGGTTGGACCAGGCATGATGCTTACATAGCAGCAGAGGAAGTTGGCCACTCCATCCTAATCCTCTTACTATGCAAATGGTGTCTTTGCTTGGCCATGGCCATCTTGTTTGCTCCTTACTATACACGAGGCTGGCAAAGAGAAGAGAAGATGGAGCCGCCATTTTAAACGTGCCTAGTTCCCGGGTAGCTTCTTTCCTATCGGCGCAACTGCCAGCATTCCCCCGTGCAAGCTTCTAGCATTCCTTTCTATGTCTGCAACTCGATTTTACAGGCTGCTCTTTGTTAGAAAAGAAAGTTATTTCGGGGCTGCTTTTCATTAAAAGGAAAGCCTTACTGAGGGCTTCCTTGCCCTCACTATCTGCCTAAATAATTTCTTTTTAACTTCTATATCATTATTGTTAACTAAACTATAGACCCTCCAGTGCTATAGGAGAGATTTTTTAAAGAATACAAAATTACAGCTAAATAGAAGGAATAAGTTCTAGTGTTCTATATATATTTCAAATTTCCCTTTGACTTTCTTTCCCTCACTATTGCATATAACTTCACCATTTGCCAGTGATATATTTAGCCAATATACCAGAACAAGATCATGGTGGAAATTAAGGACAATGAATACCACTTAGAAATCTTGGAATTGAATCTGGAAAATGTTCTTAGGGGTAGGATGACGATTTTATTTTTACAGGGAATGTTTGCATTATGTCAGGTGGGAAGTTTTTTGAAAGCATACTTTTAGGACTAAAGATGAGGATAGATGTAGGGGTAAACCTTCATGAATTTCTTCTCCACTATATGTACCCTTCCTAGGACTGTTTAACTTCTGGTTACAGTGTGTTCTCATGACCGAAGAAAGGTAGGCCTACTGGGTTCTCTCTCTTCTAGGAACTTAAATCTTCAGCAGAATAATGTAAAGACTGAAAGACAGTTAGAGCCTATTAATTGCATTTTTGTATTTTGATGGTGTTCTCATGAATTGAATCATTGTGCTTGCTGGAGTCAAGAGGTTCCAAGTTATGTGGGACCACAGCTTATACAGTTTGGAGGGTCCACTTGAAAACAAAAGAATGCAAAATAACAAAAATTACTTGGAAGTAATTGGAAGAATTACTTGGAAGAACTTGAAACTTCAGTTTCATTACTGCATAGTAAATGCACCTCCTACCCTTTTCTACGATCTATTCTTTCCTGAGAATTCCCATAGATTATCTGAACTGAACGTTCAGAAAACTTAAATTTCTACTTAAGTTAATCAGAGTCAATTTCAGTTGCCATAACCAAAACTCCTTAACTAATGAAAATAGTCACCATTTTATTGTTTTAATGAAAATAGTGCTGTAGACCGAATTGAATAACAATTACAGCTACTTGGGCCCCATTTTCTTATTTTTTAATGCATTCATCTGGAATATACACATTATTTTCCAATGTTTCTAATTTCACTGTTGAATATTATTAAAAATGGTCGATGAATATACCCATTTATTTCATTGTAAAGCTTTTGAGACTTGCATCATTGGTATAGTTACACTGATATTTCTCCCTCTACAATTCTTTAGCAAACTTTTTGATCATGTATGCAGTTTTTATTTTTTTAATTCCACATTTTTATTCTATTATCTAAACTCTGTTCTAAGACTACACAGGTACTCCAGCTTATTTTTATAGCAAATGCCCATGTAAATATTAAGTTACTACAAACATTAATTAAATGATTGCACTGTATTAGTTTCATTATATTGCCTAGAACTTTTTCTTTTTTCTGTGAACTCTGCAGAGAAGTAGAACATTTTTATAACAGAAATACATCATTTAAAATATATGAATAAAGTACAAAGTAAAAATAGTGAGAATTTTTTTAAATTTGAAACTAAATTTTAGAAAAGGTTCAACATATAGCTTTAATATTCTGAACTGATTTTCTTACAAAGATCAGTTTTGTATTTTTGTTTATATGTTTATTATTATATCCCATACCTTGACAGAAATCTGCAATCAAAGCACTTTTGGAGATAATGTCCTACTGAGTTCAGAACACCTTTACAGTCTCCAAAATATAAGCTATAGGAATAACTTCAAATTTGCCTTGGAAAATAATATTTTCCTTAGATTATATGCAAGATGTGAGAAACACCAAGTGTATTGTACTTTTTACTGACACTGGGGGAAAATAACTAAAAATACCTAAAAGAGCTTCACACTAAAGTCAAGAACCTTTAATTTTGTAGACTGCTATTTTTGAAGTTAATATGATGGATAGAAAAGATAATAAACTTTGACATAATATAAATCTAAGTTTAAATTGTGGGTCTAACACTTATTGTACTTCATAGAGTATTATGATGTACACTTCTTCCACATTTTATAATCCTTGAACTCAATAAACACCCAACAACGGCTGTTGGCATGGCATGATGGAATTGTCATTGCCTATATATAAGCAAGCAACAAAAGTTTCAGGGTCAAAACTAGTAGGATAGAAGTCAATGCTTGGATAGAAAACTTGGATTCGATAGTGCAATAAACACATTTTATCCCTAGGAAAAAGTGATTGTGAGGAAGAGGTTGGGCTCTGTGGTGGCTTGATACGTTTCGCAACAGTCTTAGAGAAGGAGAAAATGTAGACCAGCTCTACATACTCACAAAGCCAGTTTTAGAGTTCAGCATAAAAAGCTTTGAATTATTTTATAGACTCCTTAAGAAATGCTGTTCCCCTAAATCTCTGGTGTTACAGAGCCAGGGAGGACCATAATGTGTGTGAAAACATGTACCTGGATTACTCTGCATCAAAAGTCGATTCAGAACAGTCACGCTCCAAATATAAAGAAATTTTAGGAATATTTTACCTAATTTGTTTCACTTCATTTTTCTTTTATATACATGAAACATAAATAAATGAACATTTATGTGGTAAATTAAGCCTAAAAGAGATCCTTCAGTAAGTATACAATTCTAAGATAGAAAAAAAGTATTATATCATGGTACAAAATTAACAGTATTGTTTTTAGTGGTATATAAGATAATAGTGCATCTTACAACTAATGCACCTTAGCTTGGATACAATGCAGTACTGTTTTTACTTTGCTCAAATCTTTTCTAAGGCTACTTAAGCTTTCTTTTTTTATTCATAGTATTAGGTTGGTGCAAAAGTAACTGTGGTTTTTGCCATTAGAAGTATTGCTATTTAAAGTATTTAAAGTATTACTAAAGTATTAATATTTATGTAAAAATTAGAAGTTCTGTATCCTAAAAAATCCTGTTCTATAATATACCTTCAATGCATCATTATTAGTATTATTTGTCAAAATGCCCACATTTCTTATTGAGTAAATACCTGATACCAAAACAATGAAAAAAATCAGTAATGATTCATATGCTTTTTTCACTTATACAGTTATATATGTATATTGCTTATTATTCTTAGGATATTTTCTTACATTTAAAACTATGTTGGACAAACTCTAAAATGATCACCAGTTATCCCGCCTCCTGATATGCGGGTCTTATATAATTTTGAGTGTGGGCAGGACCTGTGACCTTCTTAAAACCAGTAAAAGAAGCCAAATGTTATGGGATGTTAATTCCATTATTGCATTACATAAGATTGTAACTTCTGTATGGCCAGCAGACCCTCTGTATTGTGTCATTCCCTTGCTGGGTCTGAGGCAATAAGCTGAAATGTGGAGAGTCTCATGTGGTGGCAAAGGACTGACTATACCCTCTGGCTCATGGCCAGAAAAGATCTGAGGCCCTCAATTCAGCAGTTCACAAAGAACTGAATGTTGTCAACCACATGAACCTGCAGGCAGATCCTTCCCCAGTTGAGCCTCAAATGAGACCACAACTTTGCTGTCACCTTGATTGCAGCCTATGAAACATTGACAGGTTTCAGTCCAGGACCCTCCTAATCTATGCTCTGATTCCTGACCCAAGAAACTGTGATATAATAAGTGTTTGTTGTGTTAAGCCATTAAGTTTGTCATAATTTGTTACACAGCAATAGCTAATCAAAAGAAATGCATGAAGACATTTAAAATAATTTCTTTAAAATTGCAGTTTATATCCAATCATTTAAATTTTAGAGCCTTTTTTAAAAAAATTACAAGCTGAGGGTGGTGGCTCAAGCCTGTAATGCCAATACTTTGGGAGGCCAAGGTGAGCTGATCACTTGAGGTCAGGAGTTCAAGACTAGCCTGGCAACATGGTTAAACCCTGTCTCCATAAAAAATACAAAAATTAGCCAGATGTAGTGGCAGGAACCTGTAATCCCAGTTACTCAGCAGGCTGAGGCAAGAGAATTGCATGAACCTAGGAGGTGGAGGTTGTGATGAGCCGAGATTGCACCACTGCACTCCAGTCTGGGTGACAGAGCGAGACTCCATCTCAAAAAAAAAAACTACAAGTATTAGTCCCCCTATATGCTTGAATATCTATCTCTACTTCAAGAAAAATGATAGCACTATCACAAACTACCTATAAGTAGTAACTTTTGGGGGGATAAACTATAATTTCAGTGTCAATTTTTTAATGTATTAAGGCATTATTTTTGTCTGTTCCTTAAAATAATAGCGTTTTTCTTTGAAATAGTACTTATTTTCAAATATGCAATTGTTTAATTATAAGCTGAATCTTTTCTTATAAAGATGAATTTCAAGTTTTGTTTTATATCATATTTTGGTCTTCTTGGTCACTAATTTCACCCTTGTGCAATAAACATTAGACAATCAAAATTCAATGGCCAAGTGTGATTCTTGGAAATCATGTTCATTGTTGAAGACAAATATGTTATTATACAGAACAGCATACACAAAAGGTAATAACTGGCAACAAAACAACACTATAATGAAAACATTCTTGAAAAATCAATTGCAAAATTATTCTAGAAGAATTAACTGGCAAAAGTAGAGAAGATAATTATACATCATAGGATTATCTACATTTTCCTGTTTTTGCCCACTGGTTTAGCTAGCTAGGGATGGAAAGGATGAGGCAAGCACATATGGGACCCAACAAAGGCTAATATATTATTCTATAGTAATCTCTAGATGGCCTTTTTATTTTCATCTATTAATATTTTTCCAAGAATACTTTAATTCAGTCAGACACGTGTCATAAGGACACACCTTGGAGATGCTAGAATTATGTGGAGACTAAGGGTTAAATGGTCAAGTTATCACTTAGTGTAGACGTCAGTAAAAGTCAGTAAAATTGAGGCTCTTATTAATATTATATCATTTATACTTAATAGCTGGCAAGTGCTAAAATATTTAAATCATGTATATATCAAAGAATTATGAATCATCAAACTTTACACAGGTGAAGTAATTTTAAAAATTATGAGAATTTGCAACAGCAAACTCTACTGGTATAAAGCAGTATCTGTCACCCCTTGCCCCCGATTCATCTGTGTAAATATGAATCTATATTCCCATTGTGCGGAGAATATGAATACAAATAACCCAGGTGGTCTTTGACACATTTCAAGTTAGAAAAGAGAATGTGCTGCCTTAGTAAGGAAGGGATGAAAGGAAATGATAATAGACTTTTTTAAACTGACATATCCATGCCATTCTTTCATTTTCTTCTTTAAATTGATATTTAGTGTTTCATATAGAAGAAAAAAATACATAACAGAGAAAACAGAGGAACAAAAAACCACTATCTTTTATAATCTTTTTTACATTTATTACTTTTTTAAAAGCTAGATGAGGTCACAGTATGAATTATATATTTCATTTTATCCTAATATTTATGTCAAAGAATTCTTCATGTAGCCATCTTTATAACCATTAATTTAGCCATGCAAAACAACTCATCAAAAGTGGGGAGGGAGGAGGGGGGAGGGATAGCATTGGGAGATATACCTAATGCTAGATGACGAGTTAGTGGGTGCAGCGCACCAGCATGGCACATGTATACATATGTAACTAACCTGCACAATGTGCACATGTACCCTAAAACTTAAAGTATAATTAAAAAATAATAATAATAATAATAGTAATAATAATAAATAAATAAATAAATATGTATCCCCCCCAAAAAAAAAGTATATCCCATACTTTATTTATATTTTTCTTTCTTTTATTTTTAAATGGTGTTAGGATAATACACAAGATTTGATATTTTTTAAAAAATAAATTTATACTCTTTAATAAAAATATTACATGATTTTTTATTTTGCCTTAATAACATCCTAAGTGAGACTGAATTTGCCCCCATATATGTGTAGGGAAGGACTGTGGCTTCTCTATTGTTATCAAACTATAAATACGGGCAAGTTACTGAATCTCCCTTAGTTTCAGCCTCTTTACCAAATAGATAGAAATATATTTGTACTTCAAGCCTTTTTTGTGACATTTAGTCAGCTCATATCCAGAACCCAACAAGAATCTAGAAGCTGATTCATCTTTGTTTCCTTTGTTCTTCTCCATAAAGAATTGTTCCTCATAAGAACAGACTAATCTAAGGAAAATGTTTTGTTCACTTCTATGAGATTTTTGTATCTGATAATAACATTAATCTTATGTCACACCTGTGGCAATTGTTTTTCACTGTTAAACTTTTTATGATTCTAAATATAGACTATTTAAAATATATTTGATTTTTCATCATTTTAAACAGTAGGAAATATCCTTCATTTGATGTCTTCACAGAAATTTATTTTTTTCTAATCTTTCCAAAGATATTTTAAAACTATAACTCTTTGATATTATGAAATTTAAATACATTTGTAATGTCAAGGTGACAGTTTAAATTGCTCTGTTTTCATCAAACTTGTTAAACACGTATCTCACAGAATTTACTAAATAGGAATTCTCTTCTCCAGTAATGTATGACTTTTTTTTTAACGCTCTGGGCTTTCTGTTGATCCATCTCTTTCATTTTTTGCTGGTAGCAACTTGTTTTATTTTAAAAAGGCTAATCTGGCCTTACCAACATGAGAAGAGTGTTAGTTGTTTCTGTAAGAGGCTGTATATACTGTTTATTCATCTTATAGGTATCAGCAAAGGCTTACATAAAACCAATCATCCTTATTGTCATTTACCTAAACCACAGCAGTAGTGGCCCATTTGTCAGTTAAAATTTTTATGTGATTAGAAAGAGCCTTCAAAAGAGTTTATGGTAAGAGATTGATAGGATCAATTCTATGGCTGCATCCAGATTTTTCTTTATTAACAATGAACTGATATTTATTGAGGGGTTACTATGGGCAGCCCAAGTATTATTCTAAGTGTTCCATATGCATTATCAAACTTTAAAGTATCCCCTAGTGACCCGCAAGGATGTTCAAAAAATGAAAGGACATCATGGGCAAGGAATTAAAGGAAACCAAGAGAATTATGATAGTGATTACACAGACAATATGAATAAAAAGATAGAAATTACAAAACAGAACCAAGTATAAGTGTTGGAGCTAAAGAATACAATAATTGGAATGTCCTACGAGAAAACTGATGCACAAAGAGCCAAAGTCACACATCTGGTAGGAGATAGAGTCAGGATTCGAACCCACACTGGGGCTGTGGTCTATGCGTCCTCTCAAGCTGACTGCCTGCTGGCTGTCAGGTTCCCTCTGCTCCCATGGCCTCTACTGCCCAACCCCAAGGCTGGAAGTTCACATTGTCAAATAATCCTGGTAAAGCTCTGGGCATGGATGCAGCTGGAGGCCATTATCTTAAGTGAAGCAATGCAGAAACAGAAAACCAAATATCATACATTCTCACGTATAAGTGGGAGCTTAACATAGGTTATACGTGGATATAAATATGGGAACAATAGGCACTGGGGAGCACTAGAGGAGGGACAGGGAAGGAGGCAAGGGTTGAAAAACCACCTGTTGGGTACCGTGTTCACTACAGGGGCGATGGATTCAATTATATCCCAAACCTCAGCACCATGCAATACACCCATGTAACAAGACTTCCCAAGTACCCCCGATACTAAAATAAGAGTTGAAAAAGAAGAAAAAAACAGAATTGTCCTAGCAAACAATTCTAATGCCGGCTTAAGATATGGGAAAAGGTTTAAGCAGACTAAAAGTAAATAAGTGAAAGTTAGTAGACAAAAATGATATCATTTTGTGTAAAATATCCTGATGTTTCACAGCTCAATGTTAGTAATAATAACTCAGGGCTGCAAATCTATCAGACATTACTTTTAGGAATTTAAATTAAGAACATTCTAAAAAGCCATTAGACGGCCAGGCACAGTGGCTCACGCCTGTAATCCCAGCACTTTGGGAGGCCGAGGTGAATGGATCACTTGAGGTCAGGAGTTCCAGACCAGCCTGGCCAACATGGTACAACCCTGTCTCTACTAAAAATACAAAAATTAGCTGGGTGTGGTGACACTCGTCTGTAGTCCCAGCTACTCGGCAGGCTGAGGCAGGAGAATCGCTTGAACCCAGGAGGCGGAGGTTGCAGTGAGCTGAGATTGTGCCACTGCACTCCGACACTCCTTCCTGAATGACACAGCGAGACCCGGTCAAAGAAAACAAAAAAAGCCATTAGACAGTGTATACTCTACCCACTGAAAATGCTTAGATTCATTAGCATGAATATACTCCAGTTCAACAAATCTATCATTTGGAAATTCAGAACTATGGACCAACATATATAAGCAAACAGCTGTATCTCACAGCTTTATAAATATTACTAACCTCAGTTAGGGAAATGAACTACCAAATACTTATCATTTAAAAAATAAAGACATTAACATTTCTACATGTCAAATTACTATAATAATTAAATTACTATAATATATATGTATAAAAAATACATCAAAATATAGTAATAAACTTGGGATGGTCACATTGTAACTAGTGGCTTTTTTCTCCTTTGTGCTTTTATATATTTTTAATCATTTCATAGTTGGTATTAAATAACTTAATAATTATTCAAAGTGTAATGTAAAAATGAAATAAACAGCAAAGAGCATTCCCAGTATTGTCTTACTTTGAGGGACAAAATGTGAACCTAGAAATGTTAACACTAGATAATTATATAATTGGTCATGTTTTTATTTTTCATTCCCTAGCATGTCTTCAGGAAGCACATGTTGTTTTTATAATCAGAATAAACTTATAGAACATTGTGTTCTACATAATGACAAAAACTTGCCAAGATGTTTTTGAAAAAGAAATGTAATGTGAAAACGTGTTGATTTATTTCTGACTGGAGAGCCAAACCTTGTTTGACAACACCCAAATCTGGTACTGATTGGCTTAGGTCTCCAAGTATGAGAGCATGTTTTTTGTTTTTTTTTCCATCTTGTTTACTGCTATATTTTCAACATTTAGCACACTATCTGTTTCATAAGAGCTCTTCAAGATGATTTGTTAAATAATTCCACATATTCAATCTATGTCAATAGAATGTCCTGTCCTTACCAATAACCAGCAGTATCACATTCACATGATAATAGAGCTTCTTCACCTTCAGGCAGAGTACAGATTGTAAAAAACATGAGGCTTTTTCATTAACTTCAAGTACCTACTTTTTAAGCCTCTCACTTGCTATTGTATAGCCTTGGGAAAACTACTTAACATTATGTGGTTATTTCTTTCATTTGTAAAATGAGGATGTAGTATCTAATTTTTAAGGTTACTATATTAATTAGGTAAATGTTAATGTAACTAACCCACAGTTCACCTAAAAATATGATAAACCAAATTGGGTTCAACCATATTGTACACTTTCATAACCCATTGATATTTTTTTCCATGACTGTATCTTTTAAATTTTAAAGGAATTGTCTGCTTTATTCACATTTTTATCTGAAAATCTTTTTTCAACTTTTAAGTTCCGGGTTGTATGTGCAGGATGTGCAAGTTTGTTACATAGGTAAATGTGTGCCATGGTGGTTTGCTGCACTTATCAACCCATCCCCTAGGTATTAAGCCCTGGGTCCATTAGCTATTCTTCCTAATACCCTCCCTCCCCACCCCTAATATGCCCCAGTGTGTGTTGTCTACCCCCGTGTATCCATGTGTTCTCTCGTTTTCCTTCCACTTGTAAGTGAGAACATGTGGTGTTTGGTTTTCTGTTCCTGCATTACTTTGCTGAGGATAATGGCTTCCAACTTCATCCATGTTCCTGCAAAGGACATAATCTCATTCCTTTGTATGGCTGCACAGTATTCCATGGTGTATATGTACCACATTGTTTTTTATCCAGTCTATCACTGATGGGTATTTGGGTTGATTCCTTGTCTTTGCTATTGTGGTTAGTGCTGCAGTGAACATATGCGTGCATGTACCTTTATAATAGAATGATTTATATCCCTCTGGGTATGTATCCAGTAATGAGATTGCTGGCCAAATGGTATTTCTGCTTCTAGATCTTTGAGGAATTGCCACACTGTCTTCCACAATGGTTGAACTAATTTACACTCCCACCAACAGTGTAAAATTGTTCCTTTTTCTCATCCTTGACAGCATCTGTTGTTTTTTAAAGGTTGGAGGAAAATTACAAATTTTTAAATAACTTGCCAACTCCTTATTGTCTTTTTTCGTAGGTTGTTTTGGTGAATTATACAAGGGGAGTCATCGAAATTATTTTTATACCTTCTCCATTTAATCATATTCTTCCAGGCAGAAACTGTTAACAAGATTATGAAATGCAATAGATTTTCAATATCTAAACATGTTAAAATGCTGCAATTAGGTTCCTTTAGTACATGTACGTTCCTTTGTAAAACAGAATTATAAGTAATATGCCATCTGCTTTACCCTATTTCTAATTATAGCATTGCATATGAATTTTAATAGGTATCATAATTTGAATCACTATCATGAGAAAATATAGAGATATAGGTTATTGTATCTGTTTATTTTCACAACAAATCTGTAATAGTAAAGAATATTTTATGAAATACTAAAGTATAAAGAGAAATTGTTTTTTACTGCAATGAAAAAATTGATTAAGTCATTCAAAGGGTGATAAAATTTAATTTCAAAATAGATACTCCAGAAGTTGAACAAAAATGGTTTTGATTATAATAATAGTGCACATAGATATTATACAAAAAATGAAAACCTGTATAAGCGCAGCCGGAATCATCCTCTGATTGTATGTGGCTGTTACCATTCAAAATTAGTTATAAGAAAAATCATAGTCACTTGCTGAGGGTCAATTATTGTGCCAGATACTCTACAAAGCTGTCCAATGTCCATGTTTTTTCTACTTCATTATGCCCCAGGCTTTTTTTTTTTTTTTTTTTTTTTGAGACGGAGTCTAGCTCTTGTTGCCCAGGCTGGAGTCCAGTGGTGCAATCTCAGGTCACTGCAACCTCCACCTCACGGGTTCAAGCGATTCTCCTGCCTCAGCCTCCCGAGTAGGTGGGATTACAGGCATGCGCCACCACACCCGGCTAATTTTTGAATTCTTTTTTTTTCAGTAGAGAATCTCACAATAATGATTTGGGTTTTTTGACATGCCAAAAAGATTAAAAAGTGCAAATCATAAAGGAAGAAGGAACAAAAACATCCATATAAGATGATAACAGGTAGCATTCACCACTTAATAACTTTTTATTTGGTGAGATAATTTAATTCTTTGAGTCTTAGTTTTCTTATTTGTAACATTTAAAAAAATTCGCGTCAAAGTGTTATTGTAAAGCCTAGGTGAAAGCATGCATATAATTCTCTTAACACTAAATTCACAATAAGTAATATATATTATTTTGAAGAACTCTGTATGAATTTTTGTTTAAGAAATGTATTAGTACTTCTATCTAAGGAGATAAAAAATGTAGAAGGCAAATAGATTTATGACATAATTAAAATACTTTGAAAAGAATTATAATTTTTTCTAGAATTAACTAGCAAGAATGGAGATGATAATGTTAAAAATGAAGAGAGTTGGGGAAGTCTTAACCTAAGACATATTAAATTTTATATTAAAAATAATATTTCTCAAAGTTGCTATTTTCTAAAGAAAGAAGAGGCATTTAAATGAAAGACACAGTAACGTATGTAAAACACATCCTAAAGCAATAAGGAAGTAATTCTGCCAAGAAAATTAGCTAACAATTTAAAACAGCTTCAAATGAGATTCTTACCTTATAGACTATATCAGCTAAATTATTTTTATTAATAATGTTAGTATTAATAACAATATTTTTACTTACTATGAGACAATTATTAAGCCATTTATCAGAGTAAGAAACTGAAAAATTTGCAAAGGTTGGTTAAATAACTTACCCGAAGTCAAGAACTAAAAGGAGAGCTAGAATTAAATAAATATCTTAATATAAATAGGCAAATAAATTGATAAAAGGTAAAAAAAATAGTGTGGATAAGAATGTTTTAAGCATTAAGGAAAGAGATTGCTATCAAATGAAAATATTTGTAGATTTAATTCCAGAAGAATTTAAAATTTCTGACAGTGAAAATTTATAACCAAAAGCAGCCATTTCTGAAAGTATGGCAAACAAGCTATTGTGAAAAGTTGTGTACATTACTCCAAGCAATTTTAATTGCACTGCTAAACTCATAAAGCTAGGAAGGAAGAAAGGGAGGAAGGTAGGAAGGGAGGAGGAGAGGCAGGGAAGGAGGGAAGAAGGAAAGCCAAAGACTAATGTGTAGGCATAGGATGGCTCTGCCAACAGCAAAAAGAGTAAACACAATTCTCTCTGGGAGAAACATTCCAAAATGAGATAGATATTTTAGAGTTTCCATCTTGTAGTAAAAAACGAAGTCAATGTGAAAATATTACCAGACTTTAACAATGAAATTTTCACAAGCCAACGCAAACATAAAGAAGTTAAAAAGAATAATGAGCAGAGTAAGCACATTAGATCTAGAAATGATTATATATTAAAAGGTAAAAACTAATGAAATGCTTAAGGAAATAAAAGATGTTATCAGAAATATTAACAAGAAAAAAATCCTGTAAACCATCACGAGACAATTTTGAAAGAGAATTCTAGAACTTATAAAATTAAAACTAAAATCATTGAAAATAAAACTTAAATCCAGTTAAATAGTAACTTAAATACAGCGAAAAGATGTGAACTGTAAGAAGGTAAATGGATTAATCTACTAGGCAATATATCAATCCAAAATGTATATGCAACCAATACCATAGTTTCAAAATATATAAAGCATGTATTGATAAGATTAAAAGGAGAAATAAGTAAATCTAAAAACATACTGGGAGATTTTAACATGTATAACTCAGTAATATTTGGAAGAACCAACAAAAGAAATTAGTATAGATACAGACGCTTTGATAACAAACCTGACGTGATATGTATAGAACACTAAACCACAAAACTTCAGAATATATATTATTCTTAAAGGCACGAGACAGTTGCTGAAATTAACCACCGTAATAAAGCAAGCCTCAACAAATTTTAATAGATGGAATTCAGATACCATATGTTCTATGACCTCAATGGAAGTAAGTTGAAAATTAGAAACAAATAGATACCTTAGAATATTGTCCAATGTTTAGGAATTAAATTAAATTATGCACTTCTTAGGAATCCATGAGTCAAAGGAAAATAGAAAATATTTTGTACTGAATGATGACAACATACCATATCCAAATCTGTGTGATATAATTAACATTGAATTATTGAAAAATAAAACGGAAGAAGTTTAAAAAAAGCAACAGACTCTAAAAAGAAGGATATGATAAATATAAGAGGAAGATTATGGAAGAAAAGGAAAAAATTAAATAAAAGGTACGCAGTCAAAAAATGATTGAGACCAATAAAAGCGATTAAAAAAAAAAACTTTGACAAGATGGATAAAAAAAAAAGGAGACAGGGAGAAAGTAAAATTTACAAGTGTTAGGAAAAAAGTATTCTGATATTTAAAAGATTTTAATAGGAGAAATATCATTTGAAAATTAAATAATATGCTATATTCCTAAAATAAAAAAAATGCAAGAAGCAATAGATATTTTAATAAAATTTGCATTTGTTGAAACATCTAAGCCCATAAGCAAAATTTTCCATAGAAATAATCTAGGCCCAAATGGCTCACTAGTGTATTCTTCCAAATATTTAAAGAAGAAATAATGTCAATCTTAACGAACTCTTCAGCATACAGAAAGAGTGGGAATAATTCCTGATTGATCTTATAAGCTCGACCTGACTTGTTACATCAACAAAGGAATTGTGAGAAAGTAAAATTATAGGCCAATCCCTCTCATTAACATGGATGCAAACTCTGAAACCAAACACTTATAAATGAATACATATATTGGCCATTTTGTATTTATTCCAGACTTTTATTGCACAAAATACCCAAAATCCAGTGTCATTCCACACATGAAGAGAATAAAGGAGAAAAATTATATGATAATTTCAACTGATACAGAAACACTTTTTTTTTTGAGACGGAGTCTCGCTCTGTCGCCCAGGCTGGAGTTCAGTGGCGCGATCTTACTGCAAGCTCCGCCTGCTGGGTTCACGCCATTCACCTGTCTCAGCCTCCCGAGTAGCTGGGACTACAGGCGCCTGCCACCACGCCCGGCTATTTTTTTTTTTGTATTTTCAGTAGAGACGGAGTTTCACCATGTCAGCCAGAATGGTCTTGATCTCCTGACCTCATGATCTGCCCGCCTCGGTCCCCCAAAGTGAGAAACACTTTTAATATTACTTTACACAGATTCATGGTTGAATTCTTTTATCAAACTAGGAATAGAGGTAACTTGGTGTGATGGAAGATACGTAGAGTAAATCTACAGTAAACATCAAGCACATGATGAAATATGAATGTTTTCTCTCTAATATGGAGACAAGACAAAGATGCCTGTTTTATATTTTTTAGGTACGATTGTACTAAATTGAGAAAATGAACTTGGACTTTGACCTTACACTATACACAAAAATTAATTCAAAATGGTTTAAAGACCTATAGGTAACAGCTGAAACTACAAAACTCCAAGGGAAAACAAACAAACAAACAAAACAAAACAAAACAAAAAACTGGAGAAACTCTTCATGACATTGTATTTGGCAATTTTTTTTTGGATGACACCAACAGCGCAGGCAACAAAAGCAAAAAGAGATAAATGGGACTACATCAATTTTAAAAAACTTCTGTGCAGCAAAGGAAAACACCAACAGAAGGAAAAGGCAACATACAGAGTGGGAGAAAATATTTGCAAACCACATATTTGATAAGGGGTTCATATCCCAATATAAAAGAAAAAACACCTACAACTGAACAACAACATCAAAAAACAATTTAAAAATGGGCAAATAGGCCGGGCACGGTGGCTCACGCCTGTAATCCCAGCACTTTGGGAGGCCGAGGCGGGCGGATCACGAGGTCAGGAGATCGAGACCATCCTGGCTAACATGGTGAAACCCCGTCTCTACTAAAAATACAAAAAATTAGCCGGGCGTGGTGGCGGGCACCTGTAGTCCCAGCTACTTGGGAGGCTGAGGCAGCAGAATGGTGTGAACCTGGAAGGCAGAGCTTGTAGTGAGCTGAGATAGCGCCACTGCACTCTGGCCTGGACGAAAGAGCGAGACTCCGTCTCAAAAAAAAAAAAAAAAAAAAAGGACAAATAGCTTAAATAGACATTTCTCCAAAAAGACATAGAAATTACCAGAAAGCCTATGAAAACATGCTCAACATCACTAGTAACTAGGGAAATGCAAATCAAAACCACAATGTAATATCACACCCAATAAGATGGTGATAATTAAAAAATAATAACAAGTGTTATTGAAGACGTGGAAAAATACTAACCCTTGGGCCTTTTGGTGGGCATGTAAAATGGTTCAGCCACTATAGAAAATAGTATGGAGGTTGCTCGAAAAATAAAAATAGAACTACTATATGATTGAGCACTTCCACATCTGAATATATATCCAAAGGAAATGAAAACAGGATCACAAAGTGCTATGTGCACACCCATGTTCACAGCAGCTTTATTCACAATATGCAAGAGGTAGAAGGAACCTAATTGTCCATCAACAGGTGAATGGATAAAGAAAATGTGACGTATGTAAATACAATGGAATAATATTCAATCCTAAAGAAGAAGGGAATCCTGCTGTATGCGACAACATAGTCGAACCTTAAGGACATTATGCTAAATGAAATAAACCAGTTTCTGAAAGACAAATACTACATGATTCTACTTATAGGAGGTCTCTAAAATAGTAAACTTCATGGAAACAGAAAACAGAATAGTGACTGCCAGTGACTAGGAGAGGGCAAAAGAGAAATTGTTCAATGAGTATAAAACTTCAGCTGTAAAAAATGAACGATTTCTAAAGATCTGTTGCATAACAATGTGCATATGGTTAACACTGAAACAGCATTTTTCATCTGGGGTAATACCTGAGGTTTGTTGCCTCATGCCAAGGAAATCAAGAACGTGGACACACAAGGAGTGAGTTCAAGAGCCAAGGTTTAATAGGTGAAAGAAGCAGAAAAGGTCTCTCTCCTGTGGAGAGAGAGGGGCTCCCAAGTGGGTCTTCCGGTTTCTTGGTGAAACGCATGGGGTTTTATAGATGAGAAGGAACTGGTGGCCCCACCCTAATCTTTTATTGTGAAGATGGGTTCTCTGTCTGGCCACCTCCATGTTGCCGGTTCCTTTACCGTACACGTGGTTGACAAAGAAAAGGGAAAAGGGAGCCTCAATGTTGAACATGCCTGGCCCCCAGGTAGCCTTATCCTATTGGCACAGCTGCCAGCATTCACCCGTGCAAGCATCCAGCTTGCCTTATCTACGTCTGCAGTTCGATTTTACAGGCTGCTCTTTGTTAGAGAAGGAATGATATGGGGGCTGCGTTTTTGTAAAAAGGGAAGCCTTACTGAGGACTCTCTTACCCTCACTAACTGCCTAAATAATTTCTTTTTAAGCTCCTTATCAACACTGCTGTACTCTTAAAAATGGTAAAGATGGTAAATCCTGTTTTTTATCACAATAAAAAAATTAAGAAAAAAGATTGTACTAAAGGCTCTAGACAGTGTAATAAGGCCAGAAAAATAAAAGATTTAATAATTGGAAAGAAAAAAAGACTATCATTATTTGCAGATGCATGATTGTATAATATAAATATACCAAAGGTCGAGAAACTATGGTAAGAATATTTAATCAATTCATACTTTTATTATTAGATATAGTAATTTTTAGCAAAAAGCATCTATTTGCCACCTAGAAATAATCCCACATAAAGTTAGACAAGAACTTTATACCAACAAATGATAAAATTTTGTATATTAAAGCAGACTATAATAAATGGAGAGATACTCTATGTGTAAAGACAGGACAATTAGTTCAACCCAAACTGGCTTATGAATTTAATACAATTCCAATGGAAACTACATTTCTTTAGTTAACTGATATTATGATTTGAAATTTTATTTGAAAATCTCGTGGGCAGTGACAGCTAAAGCACTCACCAAGAAATATTATCAAGTTTTATTACAAAGCTAGAGTAATTTGTATAGAACCCCAAAACCGAACCAACCTATACAGAAACTTGTTACATATAAATACTGTGTATTAGAGAGAAAGACAGGACTTAGTAATTAGTGCTGAGACAATGTGTTATCCATAAGGGGCAAACAATAGTGATAGAACACTTATCTCACAGCATGCTTTAGAACAGGAGAGAAAGAAAGAAATGTGTAAAACTTAACAATTGTTTATGGCCTAATATACAGAATGATGTCCTAAACAAAATACCAAAAAGTAATTATATTAAGAACTCTTGGGGGTAGGGAGGAAATGGGGATATGTAGTTCCAAGGCTGCTAAGTTGCAATTAGTAGAATGAATAAGTTTAGAAATTTAATGTACAGCACGAGGATAATAGCTAATAATATTGTTTTGTATACTGGAAGTGTGCTGAGAGAGTAGATTTTAGGTGACCTCACACACACACACAAACACACACACACACACACACACATGCACTCCAAGGGATAACTGTAAGATGACAGATATGTTAATTTGCCTGAATATAGGAACTATTTCATTATGTATATTAAAAAATTATCTTGTATACTTAAATATAAACTATAAAATATTTCTTAAAATCTCTTAAAATTTCATTATCACTAAATTTAATAAGAAATTTGTTCATTAAGGGGAACCTTTTAAAAACATAGAAAACAAACCACAAATTGGGAAAAGATACTTGAAAATGATAAATCAACAGAAAATTAATAACATGAATTTATAAAGTTCTCCTTCAAGTTGACAAACAGAAGACCACCCAATAGAAAGATAGGGCAAGAGATATGAATAGGCAGTTCCAAAGAAGAAACCCAAGTGGTCAGTAAGCACATGGTAATATATTCAATCCATCACGAATTAGAAAAGTACAAGTTAAAACCAATCAAAATGAGATATAATTTTACAGTGACCATCATAGCAAAAATGTAAAAACAAAGTTGGACAAAAACAAATATTGGTGAGAATGGGAAGCCCAATAGGAATTCTTATATACAGTTTGTGGTCATGTAAATTTATATGGCAATTGCTGTATGCAGTTGGGTGAATTTGTATTTGTCAGTTTAGCTAGACCAAGTTATGTTTCCCAGCACTGCTGTCTTGCTTAGTTCTAAGTTAATGCAAGCCACAAGAGATATTCTGTGCAAGAGCTGGCAGGTAAAAGTGAAACAGCAGCTATGTACCTATGCTTGAAACAAGAATTGAGAACACCACGTACGAATTCAGCTTACACGTATTGTCAGTTGCTGCTGGCTCACTGGGGCTGTATGGGGCACCATTTGGCCCACAGCACTTAAACATCCTGTGGCTTCTGCAGGATCCTAGTTGGGACAGCATATCTGCCCCAGGGATATTTCATTCTTTCTGGTGGCATCTTTTTTTTTTCTAGGAGGAAGCACCTGGTATTACTAAGAATTATGCTTCCTGTCAATGATACCGACCTGACTTCAGCAGAAAGAAAGCGCACTGACATTATATAACCATAAGTTGTAAAAGAGAGGGGAATTTAATTCTGTGATGAAGGACATCATGCTCTCCTAGAAGGTATTCTTATGGTCAAAGTTGAAGTCTCAGAGGCAGAGGGAGAAATATGAAGGTTTCAATTTGCCATCATGGATTCCAGCTTATCCATCCTCTGTTCTACTTAGTATCATCTTGCCTTCCTGACTACCCGCTCTACTGATGTTAGGCTCCAACCCCAAGCACAAAACAGCTTTATACAGACTTTAACCAGCTGCTACAAATATATAAGGTCAAATTCTTATCATAAGTTTCTTATCACATATATAAGTAGGATTCTGTTTCTTCGATTTAATCTCAACTGTTTCAACTGATTATGACATAGACATAATAAGACAAATTGCAGCAAGTAATGGCTTGACATTTTATTAACCATGAAAAAATACCAACTTTTCATTTATTTAAAGACAAAAACAACACATAAAATTCACCTCTCTTAAAACTTATGGTCTGTGTGCTTTCTTTCTCCTGAACTCAGGTCAGTATCACTGACAGGAAGTATAACTCTTAGTAATACCAGGTGCTTCCTCCCAGAAAAAAGTAGAGGCCACCAAAAATGCTGAAATATCCCTGGGGCAGATTTAGGTGTCACCTGACACACATAGAGCATTTGTGCAGAGACTAAAAGATTGATCTGAGAAACCACTTCCTGGGATGAAATGAAAGCCAGGCAGAGAATCCCATACCCAAATATAATCTAAAGGGGTTAAACTGAGAAAAAGAACACCGGTGAGACAAAGGGATTTAAACTGGAGGAACAAGGAAAGAAAAAGTGAGTATATATTTGAAGGTGAGAGGTAGAGCCTAGAGGAATCCATTGAGGCAAAGGAAGCCAGCTCTAGCTAGTTGTTTTTCTAATGGTCCCTGGTGACTAAAAGGCAAGTCACAGCCATGATTTTACTATTACCATTACATTTTTTTCATAAAGCATCTTTAAAGACACTGCAGAAATCTGGGGGGAAACTTCAACAACATGTTGATCCAAAGAACGAACTATAAACATATTACCTGTCAACTGCAACACTAAAATATAGATCAGTTAAACTAGTCATAATGACATGTAAACCTCATATATCTGGACTTCAGTATTTTGATCAATATCTTGAATGCCCTAATAGTCTGGCTATAGATTGATATCTGGCAATAAATGATTAACTTGTAATGTATGAAAATACTGTTTAGCTTTCATAAAATGAGTAGTAGTAATTTGAATGTATGATTTCAATGGATTTTAAAATATTTCTAAAGAAAGAAAAATAATGACTCCAACTCTTTAGCAAAAATATCATGAGACATATAACCAAAACAAAAATGTCTTGACTCTGAATAAAAATTTTTTTTTCAGTTTTCAGCTATTTCGTTCAAATTTGTGTCTCCATATTCACTGTGCTTTCTGTTTTGGTACAAAAATATTTTCTTAAAATTGGATGTAATAATGATCAACATTTTGCATTGTATTTTAAATTTAATGTAGAGTTACTTGACTTAATTCTGTGGCAACTTTTTGTGAAGTGGGGTATCTTTATTTATGTTCCTAATTTTAGCAAAGTTTTGTCATTACAAGCAACCTCAGTAAGTATTATATACAAAAGTATGTAAACAGTTTCAATAATATGCATTCTAAAACATATCATTTCTAATGATAAAATTTTATATTCTCCGATTTATAATTTCACAGTCACTACTAAAAAAACTTTTGAATATTAGAAAAAACTACATTGCTCATTTTGGTGAATGAACTTAGCCAGAAACTCAATTTGCAAATAATGAAATCTAAAATAAGTGTAAATTTTATTAAATATCATGGGGAAAGAATTTGAGGTAACTGGGAAGTAAATGTCTACTAATCTTATTTTTGGGTCTAAACAATGGTAACCTAGAGGTTTGCATTCTCAAAGGCATTTATGTCCAATAGATTTACATAATCCCAAAGGTTCTCTAAATAAAAATTTGTGGGTTCTGGCTCTACTATAACATTAATCAAGATCAAATTAAGGATTTATGGCTTATAATAAAGTAGTTCCAGTGTCTATCACCTATTTTTCTAAATAGTTCATCAACTGGCTTTTACACTAGATTAAATTCCTTCCCTGTAGAAGAAAACAGCTCAAGTCTTAACTCCTACAATTTATATGACAAATAAAAATCAATACAAGTGTTCTTGTTAATGGTCTTATAAGAAAAAGCCAGAATATCTGGAACAGGAGACAAAAGAACTCCAGGGTCAAGTCTACTCATCTTTGGATTCCAGCATCTTAGACTTCCCAAGAATAATGGCTCTCATATTACCCTCTTACCTTCTGAACTGCAATCTTTCTTGAATTATGAGCCTAACTGTGCATGGCAGAAGTGTTTCTTTAACAATCCTAACTTTATCACACTGAAACACTACGAGACAGTGCAATAAACCCATCTTCATAGCTTTAAATATTACTATAATCTAAGAAGTACAAATGTTAGGGAATTTCATAGATATTGGAAATGAATCATCTGTTTAAACCCTATCACTTTTTATTTGAGGAAATTAAAGATCTTCAAAACATAAACACTGAGCCCAAAGTCATAGGCCTAAAGAGAAAATTTAAACTAGAACATAGACACGTGATTTGTAGCTAATATTATCATCCAGTTGGACGTATGAGCATAGGAATTTAGAGCAGAAAGACAGTCTAATTCTATCCCTTTATTTTATAGACAAGCAAACTGGGCTATAATGATTTCAAATTTGCTTAACGGAGTGAAATTATCCATAGGGTTTGTGAAATCAAATGCTGAAAGCCCAAAAAATGCTTCCTTCTGTTTTGATATATAAGCAGAAAGCACTGCCTTAATCTATATTCTTTCAGAATCTTTTTTTCTGGCAGTAGTTATGACTTTTCTGTACTTTGAGGCCCAAATAGCTTTGTTTCAAAACAAAGTGCATTTTCAAAAGCAATTTTCTAATATCAAAATAATAATACAATCAGCCAAAACACTCACTAAATCAGGCACTCTACCAGGTTCTCTTCTAGGTATAGGACAAGACAAACAACTAAAGCAGTTTCATTCTAGAAAGACAGACAGACAAGCTGAGACCTAGCTACCAAGCAGGCAAGCAGATAAATAAATATAAGATTATTTTAAGTATTAATAAATGTGATGGCCAAAATTCAAAACTCAACATTGAGTGAGACTATGTCCTAATCAGAATGATTCAATAACTAAAAAAAATAGTTTATTCCTAGCAAGTGTCTTGTAAAGAGGGAGTTCCAGGAAGAGAAATTTCTGTGCCAATTCATACAGACTACTAAAAATCGCTAGAGGAGCTATATTGCTTTGGTTTATTTGTTAAAGTACCAAAGTGTTTTCAACAGCGTGGGAACCAATGAAGTAAGAGTGAATAAAACACTTTAATTTGAAGCAAAACATTCTCTTTCTCTCTCTCTCTCTCTCTCTCCCTCTCCCTCTCTCTCTCTCTCTCACACACACACACACACACACACACATACACACACAACTCACAAACAAGCACAGAAAACCAAATATTTTAGATCACTGTGGCTGCTATAATAAAATACCATAAACTGGGTGGCTTGTAAACCACAGAAAATTATTTCATAGTGCTCTGAGGCTGGGAAGTCCAAGATCAAAGAGCCACAAATTCAGTTTCTGGCGAGATTCACTTTCTGATTCAGTGAGGGCTCCTTCTTTCTGTGTCCTCACATGGCTAAGGTTTGGGGGGTGGAGTTAGCACTCTGGGGTCTTTCTTAGAAAGGCTCAATTCGTAATCCCCTCCCAAAGATCCACCTCATAATACCATCACCTTGAGCGTTAGGATTTTGACACATAAATTTGGAGGGTGGCACAAGCACAAATGGATCATAGTAGCAAATGTGAAGAAAGTGAGGAGGGTGAGGAACCTCATCCCACAAGACATGCTACAAGAAACTCTGAGTTTCATTAAATCAGTGACTAATAAGAATATCTAACGATCTAATAATTGGTCTTATTCCTTCACCAGATTCTAGGGAAGACATCTAGGATATCGCACAATTTTCCTGTTTCCTAATTTCTAAGGCATATTTTCATTTTTTTTTACTTAAATCTACAAATTATTCAAATCTAAACATTTTTATTAAAAGTAACATAGGTCTACTTTAGAAATTTTTAAAAAATACGAAGATGTATAGGAAATGAAATATTTAAAAAGCATGACTATCTCGTCTCATTACTAGAGCTGTCTCCTAATTGATTTTCTTACTTTTCACTGTGGCCTTCTCCTCCAGCTTAGGATCCACTGCACAGTGATGCTGACCACTCTAAAATGCAGATATGATGACGGTACTCCTTGACTTAAAATATTGACATGACCCAACTCCTTATTCTCACTGTGTTCAAGGAATCCAGATTTGCAGTAGTTTAGAAGGCCGTGCATGTTCCTACCCCTGCTCAACTCTCCCACTTGATTTGTTTTGACTCATTCTGGGCCCTCTGAGGCTTTATGCCACCCATTTCTCCAAGGAAACATTTTCTTTAATTGCAAGACTCATGAGCATTCTGTGTCCTATACCTAAAGTACATAGAGGCAGGCACCACCCTTTTCACCAAACAAATCAGACACCCTTACATGACCAAATGAGACATAGCTTCAGCCAATATGAGTTTGATGTTTCTCTTATATTCCTTTGAAAGACTCTGTTGGTTTTCTCCACTTCATTGCTTTATATTATGATTATTTGTAAGTACCTTCTACATGCCAGTCATTGCTCTAGAGGGAAAAGAAGGAAGCAAAACACACAAAACAGCCACTCAGCAGCATTCTACATTCTAATAAGGAGAAGCAGACAATAAATAATACAATTTATAGATATCACACGAACAGATGTTAAAAAGTCCAATAAAGACTGGTTAGGGGAAAAAGATTTCTAGGGAATTCTCGTTTATATCAAGTGATCAAAGAGAAACCCAATGAGATAGGACATCAGAACAGAGATTGGAAAAAGTAAAGGAGCAAACCATGTGAATTTCTAGAAGGAATATTTTCCACGCTGAGGGAAAACAAAGTGAAAAGACTGAGAGGTTTCCACAATCCCTGTGTTTTCAAAGGTCAACAAGAATGCCAGTGTTGGAGTTGAGAGAAAAAGGAGAACATTTGAAAATGAGGCTTTCCATCTGGGATTCTCAAATGCTATTTTAAATCCAATATTTCTTTGATGTAACGGGGTAACCTGGACATTCTAGGATATTTAGCAACATCCGTGGACTCCATTCACTGGATGGTAGCAACATCCACAGCCCCCCAACTCCCTACCCCCATTGCCACCCAGTAATGATCATCAAAAATTATCACATTTTCCCTGGGGGAGCAAAATCAGCCAGCAATTGAAAACTGCTGTTCTAGAGGTAGCAAAAACAAGATTGTGCGAAGTGTTATGCGCCATATTCAAATATTTGCCTTTACCTTGAGTAAAACGTATGCCAATGTAAGACACTCAGCACAGAATTAACATGAACTTCAGTTATGAAAATCATTCCTGCTTTTGTGTTGAGAATAGGCTACAGGATAACAAGACAGAAATAGCACAGTAATCCAAGCAGGAGATAAAAGTTGTTCAGATCTGTACGACAGAAGTGGAAGTGATGAGAAGTGGTCACATTCTGGAAGGTCACCAGATTTCCCAGCATATTGTAATGGGTGTGAGAAAAAGATAGCAATCAAGGATAATTCCAATGTTTTGGGAACATTAGACTTGCTATGAACTGAGATACAGAAGGCTAAAATTGGAATGGGCTCTGAGAGAAAGAAAAAAGGAAAAAACAGTCATTAAGACTAAAAAGGTGTTGACACGGATGTGTTTAAAAGGGAACACTTCCACACTGCTGGTGGGAATGTAAACTAGGACAGTTACTATGGAAAACAGGGCAGAAATTCCTTAAAGAACTAAAAGTAGAAATACCGTTTGATCCAGCAATCCCACCACTGGTTATCCACCCAGAGGAAAGTAAGTCATTATACGAAAAAGATAATTGCAAACACAAGTTTAGAGCAGCACAACTTGAAATTGCAAAAATATGGAACCAGCCCAAATGTCCATCAATCAACAAGTGGATAAAGAAACTATGGTGTATATATAATACTACTCAGCCATAAAAACGAATGAATTAATAGCATTTGCAGCAACCTGGATGGAATTGGAGACCACTATTCTAAGTGAAGTAACACAGGAATGGAAAACCAAACATCGTATGTTCTTACTCATAAGTGGAAGCTAAGTTATGAGGATACAAAGGCATAAGAATGATACAATGTACTTTGGGGATTTAGGGGGAAGTGTGGGAAGGGAGTGAGGGATAAAAGGCTATAAATTGGGTTCAGTGGATACTGCTCAGGTGAGGGTTGCACCAAAATCTCACAAATCACCCCTAAAGAACATACTCACGCAACCATATACCACTTGTTATTCAAAAACCTATGGAAATAAAAAACTTAAAAATTAAAATTAAAAAGGTGTGCTACAGAGAAGGAGGAAAACCAAATGAGTGTTGTATCCAGGGAGGCAAACGATGAAAGAGTATTAGGGAGTAGAGAATAAATAACTCCACCAAATCCTTCTGACAAATAAGAGGAAAACTGGGAATGGCATTGGACTTAACAATATGAAGGTTACTTTTGTCAATGCTAAGAGGATTTTTGATGGAGCGATGGGTGCAAAAGCCAAAATGGAGTGCATTAAAACCGACTTTCCCCTAGTGTTCTATTATTGGAATGCTAAGGATGTGGGAGTTATTCATATCCTACTGCTCAAGATCATCGCTGAGGTCTGGGAAGGGGAGGGGAGTGGAGGGGAGGGAAGGAGAGGAGAGTGGAGGGGAGGGGAGGGGAGGGGAGGGGAGAGGAGAGGAGAGGAGAGGGGAGGGGAGGGGAGACGACAGGAGAGGAGAAGAGAGGAGAGGGGAGGGGAGGGGAGACGAGAGGAGAGGATAGGAGGGGAGGGGAGGGGAGACGAGAGGAGAGGAGAAGAGAGGAGAGGGGAGGGGAGGGGAGACGAGAGGAGAGGAGAGGAGAGGAGGGGAGGGGAGGGGAGGGGAGGGGAGAGGAGAGGAGAGGAGAGGAGAGGAGAGGAGAGGAGAGGAGCTATATTTGACAAATTA
This sequence comes from Homo sapiens, assembly GCF_000001405.40. Taxonomy (NCBI): domain Eukaryota; kingdom Metazoa; phylum Chordata; class Mammalia; order Primates; family Hominidae; genus Homo; species Homo sapiens. The sequence goes on from NC_000008.11 coordinate 16,554,876, forward strand.
CCTAACTACACCCTAAGCAAATGTTTTGAATCCTTGAAGGCAGAGATGTTCATTGGCATTTTTTCCTTTGTAACTATACAATAATGCTTGGAAGAGAGTAGGTGCTCCGTAAATAAGTATAGCCTTTGAAGATATCCCATAATTCCTATTTTATAAAAATATATGCCGTAGAAATAGTCACAGAAATGTTTATAGTTGTACGTTGAATTCTCAGTGTTTTACAATTTTAGTATTTTGGCAACAAGGCCAGCCACAAATTATATCAAGATCATTTAATTGGTGTCATATCATCTTAAATAAGAGCACAAAACATAGAGAAATTATTTTCTAATCAGTTGTAACTTGGTAAACTATCTCGAAATTATTATTCAGAAAGATGAGAAAAAGACCAGGAAACCCAAGGAAACACAAGTGAGAATACGTAGAGACTAACGGGAAAGAATAAACATGTAAAAGATGAAAAAAATGAACTAAAGGATGGAAAACAAATGAGTTATTTAGAAGAAAGTTATGGCAAAATCAGAATAACTGAAGCCGTGAATAAATTTAAGACAAGTAGAGTGACAGCAGGAATACTTCCAATATATCTAATAATCAGGAACACATTGAAAATGAAGGAACAGTTGCCTTGGACAAAAAAAAAAAAAAAAAAAAAGCTTACCTTTGAAGATTTGGCCATCTTAGAATCATATGTCTGGATTACTGAAGTGGAGGAACTAGCATGCTAGAAGTATACTTCAGGATAATTCATATCCCCTTATATTTAGTCATGATATATACTTGAATCTGAACCTGAGTATAAGATTTTTTTAAACAACTTAAGACTAAAATAATAAAGTAATGCTGTTATGCATATAAAAAATGAAATGTTATAGCAATTGCATTTAGTTTGTTGGTTTCTCAGGGAACTATAGACAAGTACAGAAAAACGCTTTGATTCTTAATTTGTAATATGTGCTGATTATTATTTTATTCAATTTTACTAATATGCTGTAATTAAACCAACAGCAAACCTAAGTATACTATTTATGATTCCACCTTTTTGGAAGAGGGCTTAGTCGTGTGGACTTAGGATAAGTCATGGCAAAGAAATGGAATTGTGCCACACAGTTGTATCATCAAATGCAATTTTCAAAGTACACAGTAAATCACATACCTGAATTTTGTTCTCAAATACTGGGCAGAACAGCACTATCAAACACAAGAGTCACAGAAACAACTCCACACAGTCCACAGATGTAAATAGGAATAAGAGTCATATTAAAATCTCATGCCCTATTCAGGCCTTTGGCTATGAAGTTAACCCCCAAATCACCTACTATTTGTATCTCAGTATGGCCATACTATTCTTACTTTCTATTCTATATGCACTAACACTTATAAAAATAATTTTTAATTAAAAATAGCTGTCCTTGTGAAAGGCATCTATTTCTGTTTTAAAAAATCAACTCCTAGTGCTGATGACTGAAGTAAGAAAATAGTTAAATCTGAGAAAGTGATGATGTTTAGGTGGAAAACATCCTAGGGTTAAAACAATACAATGAAATATTATATTCTACAGTGGTTTCAATTAATAATCTAAATGAACTCATTTTTTCTGACCTATACAGAGACAAACAAGAAAGTTTATAAAACATCAGTACTTTTGGGGAAAACTTTATGCTACATGAATTCTTGTTTGTTTGTTTGTTTTGAGATGGAGTCTCGCTCTGTTGCCCAAGCTGGAGTCCAGTAGCGTGATCTCAGCTCACTGCAACCTCTACCTCCCAGGTTCCAGCAGTTCTCCTGCCTCAGCCTCCTGAGTAGCTGGGATTACAGGTGCACACCACCACCCCCAGCTGATTATTATTTTTTTTTTTTTTTTTTTTTTTTTTGTATTTTTAGTAGAGACAGGATTTCACCATGTTGGCCAGACTGGTCTCAAACTTCTAACCTCAAGTGATCTGCCCACCACATGAATTCTTAAAGGTGTGTCTTAAGAAACTGTCAGAGTTCTACTGTACCAACAATTTCCAAGGAGTATTAATCATTGAGGTTAAAGAATGTGCCTACATATTCAATTGAGCTTATTTAGAAACGCCTGTTTTCAGAACAATGATCTCCACATGCTATAAGGACTGTGTGGAATTGTTTCTGAGAATCCCGTGTTTGATTAGTGCTCTTCTGCCCAATATGTGAGAACACAATTCAGGTATGTGATTTGCTGACTACTTGGAAAATTACATTTTGATAGTGCAACTCTGCAGGCAATCCCATTTCTTTTCTAGAGTGCTTCCATAATAAATATGTTCTGGTGTTTCACTAACTCTCATAGGTGTCATTTCTATCACTACATTTGTGTTTCTAAGATTGAGCTATTGAAGTAGTGTTTACACTACTTCTTCCACATGGTTTCCTATCTAATATGAATGATAACTGAAGTAGCTATGTCTACAATAGATCATTGACATTTTTTCTCCCAAAGGATTATCTGTTTGAGTTTTTCAAAATGATGTTTTCTGAATCCACACCTGATACTGCCTGGGTAACAACTTAATTCACAGTACACCAAGAGAATGTCTCCCTTTTTGTATCTCCAACTGTATTTGCTTCACTTTAAAGTAGTATCGTGTTTTGTATTATTATTATTTTAATTTAATGAAAGAATAAGAAATCATTAAAGTTTGAATAAATTAAAATATTCAGGTGCCATACACTTATATTGCTCCTGGATAAGAAAAATAATGTTTAAAGTTTTTTATGCCAATGCAAAGAAGGAGAAGGAAAGTTACATGTTAGGAGAATCTGTTCTGTCTGTGGTTGTTAACCCTCTCAATAAAGCTACAAGGTAGCATTAGTTTCTTCATTTCACCAAAAGTCACAAGGCTAAGTACCTAGTATATGGAAAATTTCAAACTCAAAGTGGAATTTGAAATAATGTTCCTATGGTTCCAAAGGCTGTCACTTTTTTAGTATGCTGTATTCTTTTCTATACAACTATTTCACTTTCATTATAAGAAAATTCAGCCTGAAGTACATACGTTAACTTATCCATTTAAACACATTATCACATAATTTTTTGTATCTGAAAAAAAAATGTAGCCCATATAATACTGAGAATGAAGATTTAAAGAATGCCTTTCTGAATCCAATAACCAGAATATTGAATATTCACTAAAAATCCCAGTAAGCCTGTTTTATAGGTGAAAACTCTTGTAGCATGTTGGCATGGTTTACTTTCAGAACTATTCTTCACAAGGAATGCTTGAATGACACAAATAATACTAATATTAGTACACAGGTATTAATACTATTAATAATGTTAATATATCATTTTATATAAGCTTTACATTAATAATATTAGTACTGATGCACTAATGTTAATAATATAACAAGTAGTTAAGTACAAACAATCTCAAATGATCTTGAACTCTTGCTACAGAGGTAATATGATAAATTCTGGCCTTTACCGTGTTGTCATGGGGAACTTACTGGCTTTCAATATGAAGCAACTCTGAGTTTTTAATTATCTCATTTACAAAGGAAGATTTACAATGAAGTTATGATCATATATTTGTGGACACTTTCTAAAACTAAGAAATATTAAATTCAATGAAGATTACTGTCACTTTCTATGCCAATCTCTATCTCTACCACCACCCTACAAAAATACATATAATTATACTATAATATTGAGGCTACAGGCATGTTTGATAATTGGGTTAAGGTACAACTGTATTGGTGATATATTTTGTTTGGTTGAGTGAATCAGGCTAGGGGCAGAATATAGGTTTCTGATACATAGGACAAACATCTTTTTTCTATTCTATCTCACTTTTCAAACATGTTTGGTAAATTTTATCAAAATTATACTGGTAGGTCAAGTAGGAAATAGCAGTCAGACAATATATACTTATCTTTTTAAATAGTTTCCCCATGTTAGAGCTTCCCATTCTCTATATTTTATGGAAAGTTTTTGTTATTCCCAACGGTGATGAGGTGAGCAGTGTTTGTATTTTGAAATATGAGGTTAGACTAGGCAAAACGATTAGGTCAGTGGTAGTTTTACTGAAGGCAGAAAAAAATCTAAAAAATTATAAATATGTATTCAGCTGAGACCTCATCAGAATGATATATTGTTAGTTGTAAAGATATGATACTTTATAAAAAAGACATTGATCATCTTGTGAAACAAATGAACTTAAATTGCCATCTAGTTTATTGCTGGAGAGATAATTTCTTTGACATTAGTTTAACTTTCATGCTCCATTTATACTTATAAAAGCTTTTAAGAGACCAAAACAGATTCTCATTGTCTACCTAAACGCAGTGATATTGGCAACAATTATGCTCTTCTAAAATGAACAGTCAAAAAGATATGCAATTAATATGGATTTTAACAAAGATATTGGCAAATGTATTTTTTAAAAACAAAAATCTCATTACCTTAACGATTGTATTGAGCAATTCACTTTCCAAGATGTCATATATTTGAGATTACCTATTCTTAGCACAGTTCTTCCAGTCTACCTCAGAAATAAAATAAAAACTTTTTATCTTATTTTCTAAAATCTGTATTATTCTTGTGACTGTTATCTGCTCAAGATTACATCATTTTTTCTGCATAAAAGCCAGTTTCCAGTAAGTATACGGAACTTAGTATTAAAGCTAGTCATTTCACATTACATTTGAATTATGCTTAATTTCTAAAGTATTTCAACATATTATCTCTCTTGATATTATAAATATATCAAGGGTTAGCTCAGATTGTTATCACTCTACAATGGCAGAATCACGACTCCAAGTTTTTATTGTCTGGTCATGTTTACTATTTTCACAATTGCAAATAATGCCTCAAATACTAGTAGATTTGCACATACATTACAGAAACAACTATGATAAAGACTGGGACGAATTGGAATAATTCTAATGCTGTAAGTTTTAAATAATAAAATTTGTTATTTTATTATAAAAACAAAGGAGTCTTTCTTACATATAGAGTATTGTTATGAACACAGACTGATACACAATTAAAATATGCAATTTTATAACTAAATAGGTACATCATCAAGGCAACTATAGTGTTCCCTTTGAGTGAAGAGAAAAAGAAGGAAAAACGCATTTAAAACATTGCCTGTAGGTGTCTTTGTTACTTAAAAGTTTCAAGAGCCTTCCTAATAGCATGCTTCCAAGATACTCAAAGAATTTCTTAATTAAAATTGTATTGATGTATTCTATCTGCAGAGATAATTAAATACAACACTAGTTTTCTCTTGCAAAAACACATTTGTCTTGCCAAGAAAGTAATTGAGAAATAGAGTCGAGTGACTCAACCTTGATACGGAAACTTTTGCCAGAAAAGTTTCTTCTGTTAAGAAAAGTCTGAGGATTAGCCACTGCTATATAGTTTGATCTAATTTCTTTTTGTCTTAATTGAATGTGAAAAATAATGGCATAATAAAACAAATGCATATTTCTCCCCATTAGTTCACGACATACAAAAGAAGTTAAGCCAAGTCAGATTTTGAAGTCAACTGAGAGCCGATGCCTTATTCACCGGTAGCATTCATCTGTTTCATCATGATGCTCTCTTTCTCTGTTTTTCTGTTTCATCATGATGCTCTCTTTCTCTGTTTTGAACAGTCACTGAACTATTAAGTTGGACTTTTTCATTTTAAAATACAAGTTACTCTCTCATGCCTGCATCCCAATGATAATTATTGCTCTGAAGGAGCAGTTCCAATTAAAAGATGTGCTGTTCATTCATTATCGCTGAGTTACTGTGATAACATCCCAGTTACTGGAGCTTACAGTTGCAAGGTTACAATAGAAAACAGTGGAAAGGAAATTCTAGGGAACCCATCAGCCCAGATTTACGCAAAAAATGTATTTATTGCTACGCAATATATAATATCCTTTAAATCCTTAAACCCAAACAAAGATTTAGAAAAAAAATATGATTTTGTTAGAGAGCACAGCACATTGACTCAAATTTTCAAAAGCCTTACTATCTCAGCACCAAATAACTTCAGATGAAGTTAAAGAAGGCTATCTAAGAGCAAATATGATCCAAAGGCTTCATTCTGATGCCTTAGTGAGAAAAAAAGCAGGAACTCAACCTCTACCCAGGCCCTAAGCACTTCAGAATACTGACAGTGGTTGAGGTATTTGAGGATAGAGGTCCAAGAAAGAACCATCCAGTCGTGAGGAAGATGACCTCCATCCAGTAAGTGAGCAAATTCCCACCTCCAAGAGTTTACAGGTTCAGCATTTGTGACATGTCCCAGTGGAAACGTGAAAAATATAAAGTTGTGAAACATTCTTACAGTGCAGTGACTTTCAGAATGACAATTAGGACCTCAAAAATCTGCTTATCTGTAATGCAATGATAGAGCACTTGCAAAAACTGTCTAAATTACCTTTTTTTGAAATTCCAGAAGTTAACCCAAAACTTCCATCACTCTGCAGGGAATTTCTTCAAGGAAAATAGCTGAACCTCAGTAAAAAACAGAAAGGCTTGTACCATTTTATTTTATTTATTTATTTATTTATTTATTTATTTTTATTTTATTTTATTTTTTTTTTTCTGAGAAGAGTTTCACTCTTGCTGCCCAGGCTGGAGTGCAATGGCACAATCTCCGGTTCACTGCAACCTCTGCCTCCTGGGTTCAAACAATTCTCCTGCCTCAGCCTCCCTAGCAGCTAGGATTACAGGCATGTGCCACCACACCCAGCTAATTGTGTATTTTTGGTAGAGACGGGGTTTCTCCATGTTGGTCAGGGTGGTCTCAAACTCCCAACCTCAGGTGATCTGCCCGCTTCGGTCTCCCAAAGTGCTGGGATTACAGGCATGAGCCACCGCCCTCCGCTGGCTTGTACCATTTTAACCTGCCCTATTCTCATCTCATTTTTGTCGGTTCCACAATAACCTTGAACACCAGCAGCTTCACAGCCATGGTAGTGAAACCAAGCAGCCCAGTAGCTACTAGAAACAGTTAACTGGATTTGGATCTCCTCACAATGCTTGTCCCCACATATATAATCTGTCTGGCAGCTCCTTGGGAAATCTCCATTAGCAAGGCTTTTCTTTATTTCACCTCATCCAGTGTTCAACAGGAAAAGTCTTGTCTCCAGAACATTTGTTGAAACTAATTGCCTAACATGGCAACTGCCTGAGGCCAAGATAACAATTGAGGCAAACAAGAGGTTGGGCAAAAAGGAAGATGAGAATGAGATGTTCCTAGTGGGCTTGGAAAAGCTTCAATGTATTACTGGGGATCTAGAAGGCCCCATGCATGTGCAAAGCTGTGCATGTGCCCAGGAAAACCTAGAAAGGTCCTAATCTCTAAGCAGAAAGTAAAGGCTGAGGCACAGCTTTAAACTGCTTGAATGCTAAAGGCATGCCCTAATACATACAGAGCTCCTCTGCAAAGGGTAGGATACGTTGTTTGAAGAAAAAATCAATTTAAGAAAATCTCTGTCCTATCATTAGCTGACCAGTAAACTAACCAAGCCATGACTTCAGTGCTGTTCATGACAGAAAATAGAGACTTTGCAGAATTCATACAGCAAAGCTGCTACACGAAGAGGATCAAAAATATCAGATGACAAAAACAACATCCCTGGGGAAGGTAGAGAATCTGATTTCCACAATTATTATATTATAGAATGTCCAGTTTTCAACAAGGTTATAAGACACAAAGGGAAAAAATGTAGTCAGTAAAAACTGTCGCTAAGGAAGCCTAGATATTGTATTTACTAAACAAACACTTTAAGTCAGTTATTGTAAATATGTTGAAAGAACTAAAAGAATCCTTGTCTAAATAACTAAAGGAAAGTATGAATTGTGTCTTAGCGAATAGAGAATATCATTAAAGACACAGAAATTATATTTTAAAAATAGCTACACAGAAATTCTGGAGTTGAAAATTAAAATAACTAAAATGAAAAATTCATTGGAAGGAGTCACATCATATTTGCATTGGCAAAAGAAATGATTTGTGAAGTTAAAGGTAGTTCATTGAAATTGCCCAGTCTGAAGAAGAGAAAGAGAAAAGAACGAAGGAAAATGAACACAATTTCAGAGATCTGTGAGATAACACCAGGTATATCAACATATGCATAACAGGAGCCCCAGAAAAGAAGGGAAAGAGAAAGAGGCAGAAGTAATATTTTAAGAAATACTGACTGAAAACTTCCCAAATTTGATTAAAATGCTTGTAAGTTAAAATGATAATTGCAAGTATTCACTTCATTGATATTTGTCCTACTGCATTTCTAAAATCTTCTAAAACACAAAGTAGACATTCCTCAGCTTTAGTATGCCTACCTGCCATTTTTAGTGCAATGGAAAAAAAAAAAGAATATACAGCAGTAAAACATTTTCGTTCACTGTTAAATCAATCCTATTTAATCTTAATTCATTTTTTTCAATTGAATATATCTTAGTGTATAATTGTCAATTTATTAACAAAAAATCTATCAAAAGTATTTTAATGTATGTTATTAATTTTATTGAAAACGACTTACTTTAAATATATTTTTATTTGATAGATTTTCACACATATAAAATTTTAATTTTCTGCCTTACAGCCCTTTAAAAACATGGAATGGGATTGCCTATTTTAGAGGGATAGTCTAAGTGACATATTAATTCATTAATTTGGCCTCCCCAAGACTTCACAACTATATCAATTCTGAATTAGGTTACTTCACAATGGGAATAATTGCTCATTCCACAATCATTTATTGCATATATACTATGTACTCTGTACTAGGTACTGGGATGGTAATAAAACATCCAGTATCTATAAAGCACTTTCTATGTGCTAAACACTGTAAAATAAGCAATATATATTGACATATTTAAACTTTCCAAGCCCCCTAAGAAGTAAACACTATTATTATCTCCATTCCACGGATGGTAATAATGAGTCATAGAAAGAGTAAGTAACTTGCTCAAAATCATACAGCACTTAAGAGTTAAGTCAGGATATTAATCTGGGCAGTCTGGCTCAGAGTCCAAGACCTTCCTTATTCCACTAGACACTAGGAGAAGACTGGCATCAATGTGTTAGTTGCAATTAAGTCCAGTTAATTCAGTTGTGGAGGTAAGTACTTCACACTAGAAGAGCACATGGGTGGGACCTCCTAACTTACCTTCTAACATGAAGTTAGGTTTCTCTACAAATTGATATCTAGACTAATATATTTGATGACTATTAAGTTAATATTAGTATTAAAGGATAAAGTACCCTTGGCACTTGCAAGTAAACAAATAACTATATTAGAATTAATTACACTATTACCTACTTAATTTCATTATTCACTAAATGGCTCTAAGGCTGAAAGTGTTTCTGATCCTTTATCTTGATAAAGGACACTTTAAGAGGCTGCGGAGATATCACAGGCAGAGGAAATACAATGGCAAATATCCGGATGCAAGGGAGAAGATTAGAGCCATGAGAAGTCATGAAGAACTTCTAAGAAGTTTAGTAAATTAGATTGCATTCTATACTCAAAATTGGGAGAAATGAAGCCATCAGATTTAGAGACAAAAGACTGAGGGTATTTTGCCAACAGGTTTATGAAAAAATGCTCAACATCACTAATCATCAGGGAAGTCCAAATTAAATCCACAATGAAATGTCACCTCACACCTGTTAGAATGGCTGTCATCAAATAGATGAAAGATAAGCATTAGCAAGGATATGGAGAGAAGCTGTTGATGGGAATGTAAGTTACTACAGACATTATGGAAAACACTTTTAAGAAGCATGTTCTCACTCATAGGTGGGAATTGAACAATGAGAACACATGGACACAGGAAGGGGAACATCACACACCGGGGACTGTTGTGGGGTGGGGGGAGTGGGGAGGGATAGCATTAGGAGATATACCTAATGCTAAATGATGAGTTAATGGGTGCAGCACACCAACATGGCACATGTATTCATATGTAACAAACCTGCACATTGTGCACATGTATCCTAAAACTTAAAGTATAATAAAAAAAAAAAGAACTAATCAACAGGCGACATGTCATTAAAAAAAAAGAAAGAGAAGTTTTTCGAAAGCCAGAAATGGAATTACTATATGATCCAGCAATCTCAATTCTTGGAATATGTGTAAAGAAATTTAAATCAGTGTGAAAGAAATATTTGTACTCCTATGCTCATTGCAACATTATTCAGAGTTGCAAAATACAGAATCAACCCAAATGTCCATAGAATACTTTTCCATAGAATAGATAAAGAAAATGTGCTACATACATACAATGGAATACTATTCAGCCTTAAAAAGGAAATTTTTGTCATTTGCAGCAATATGGATGAAACTGGAGGACATTATGATAAGCGAAATTAGCCCAGCACAGAAAGAAAAACTATGTGATCTCATTTATAAGTGAAATGTAACCAAGTCAAAGTTACAGAAGTAAAGAGTATAATCGTGGTTACTAGAGTCTAGGGGTGGGAGGGTGGTGAGGATGGGAAATGAGGAGATGCTGGTTAAAAGGTATAAAATTTCAGGTGGACAAGAGGAATAATTTTTTGAAATCTATTACAGAATACAGTGACCACAATTGGTAATAATGTATCATATAGTTCACAATTGCTAAAACAGTGATTTTAAGTGTTCTCACTACAAAAAAATTTGTGAGGTGATGGATATATTAATTACCTTGATACGATAATTCCACGAGGCACACATATATCAGAACTTCACATTCTACCCTGTAAATGTATACGATCATTATTTGACAATTTATTTTTTGAAAGGCAGAAAGCCTTTTGTAGGTTAGCTTAATAAGTTTAAATTTGTGCTAAGTGCAATAAGTAATGAACGAGGTATAAGGGAAGCAATTTTCAGATTTGGATTTTAAGACAACTCACTCTGATTGCAATGTGAAGAATAAGCTGGAGAGGAACAAACGGAAGAGAGAAAACACTTAGGAGCCTGTTATATGTGACACAGACAATGACAATTTGAAAGATGATGCAACACTGTGAAATGTGAAAGATGGTGTCACAGATGTGAAATGTGAAAGATGATGATGTAAAATGGTGATTTGGGACATTTTTGGAAGACTATTTGGTTAAGTGATGTGGAGCATGGAAGCACAGGAAGGAATCAGGCATAATTCCCAAGTTTCCTTAACTAATCTCAGAAATCCCTTTTTATAAATGTGCTTCAACATTTCACTATGCTGTTGCAAATGCTCAATATATATGAGGGATACACTTATAGAAGAAAAAACAAACTCATGCAATAAATCCCTTTCAGAAATCTATATCAAAGTAACACTTTCTTACCTTTTGAACCAGTATATTCCATTTTATTACCTAATAAGAGCAAGTCAAATGCAAGTCATGTATCCCTTGTTGCACTGGAAGTCAAAAGGCTCCAGGACAAGTTTTGCTTTCAATTCTATTAACGTTTTTTTTTTTTTGGCTTAGTTTTCTTGTATAACTAACTTCTCCCATCCCTTAGGCTTTGTCATGTACCTATAATTTTTTGATTTTGTTTTTGTGATATGTAAATGTTAAATGGGTGTTATAAATGAACTAATACTAATGCATTTTTGACAATCTAATTAGGACAGAGAAGATTAATGTACTTAGAATACTGTACTAATAAAATTAATGCAAAGTGTGTATAAAATTAAAGAAGAATTAGAAATTAGAAAATCACTCAAACAAGGTAGGGAATTAAGACAAAGTTCTTTCACATAAGACCATTAATGAATTTGTAATATTTATACAGTCCGAGCTAAATAAATTTAATTGAAACCTAGTATTTAATAACTATGGAAAACAAAAAAATAAACACCACTAGACATACAAACAAATAATTATAAAACAACTCAAGCTTTTTAGATTGCTAACAGGTAGAGAATGTTTGGTCAAAATATAGTCAATCTTTTGAACATTTAACTATTAGGAATGACTTATTTTTCAAATTATATCTTAAAATCATTATATGCTTGCACAAATTGAACGGACTTGGGAGGTATTTACAGCTTGAGATTCCTAGCCTTTTTCACTATAAATCTACAACATTAAAACCACTTAAAAATCCAGAATTATATAACATTTACCTTTATATCAATTTAATACAAGTTATAAGTAGATATGCATATTCGAACACATATTTCACATTCTTGGAATTGTCTACTATAATATTTATTGACATCCCAGATGTACCACAATTTATTATAGTCAGTTGTATATTGGCACTTGGAAGTAAACAAATAACTATATTAGAATTAATTACACTATTACCTACTTAATTTCATTATTCACTAAATAGCTCTAAGGCTGAAAGTGTTTCTGTGTGATTAAGGAACTGATTTTCAAAAACCTATATTTCATTCATTTTAGCATAAGTTCACTTACATCAGCAGAAAAGTCACCCATAGCCAAGTACGTAAAACAATGCAAACTGATCTCTGGTAAAGGAATTATCTCCAATTACAATACCACTTCTATGCTAACATATGTAGTTATATGGTCATTTTCCAGGTGCATTCCTACTTACCTCAAGGGTTCTGTGCAATGAAGTAGAAAAAGAACAGAAAGAATTTCAGAGAGACTCATCAGCATCATCACAGGGATCCTTGATGAAGCAGATGGAAAATACAGCATGAACCCTAATAAAAATGCTTCCTGTGCCAATCCTGAGACCACAGTGACTGTGGAACCTGAATTAACATATGTCATGAGAGGAAAGGAAGCTGAACAAAGAGCACAGTGAAGTGACTTGGCCTGACCTCATTTCCTTACCTCATGAGGACTTCGTCTGAAAGGTGAGCCCAGCGCAGCTGTGCATAGCCAATCCTTGGGAAACACAGAAAAAGGAAGGAGCCACATTCCACACAAGCCCAGTGACACTAGACTCTCAGGAATTTCTTGAGTCAAATCAACTGTTCCCCCACTTTAAGGAAAAGGTGATTCGGGAAGACGAGAAGGCTCTCTGATACTGCCTTTCTCTTTGGGTGACTTCCTTTGGTCAGTCTTCACCCTGATCCAGCAATACCTTCCGGACATGTCAGATAGGGCTCACTGGCCTTTGATACAGTTCAATACTGCTATTCCATTTACTATAAATTAACAGGAAGAAGGTGAAGGAGTACAAGAGCCCGGCTTATCTGCAGAAGATGTGTTCTAAGATCACCAGTGGATGCCTGAAACTGCAGATAGTACTGAATCCTGTGTACAGTGTTTTTTTTCTATACTATATGCCTATAATAAAGTTTAATTTATACATTAGACATAGTACTCTTGCACTTTGGGGCTATCATTAAGTAAGATAAGGGCTACTTGAACACCACAACAGTCCATGTGATAACTGAGATGACTCTTAGTGGCTAACGGATGGGTAGCATAGACAGTGCGGATGCACTGCACAAAGCGTGTTGAAGCACCCAAATGAGATTTCATCAAGCTACTCCGATCAGCACACAATTTAAAACTTATGAATCGTTTATTTCTAAAATTTTTCACTTAAGATTTTTGGACCATGATGGTCCATGGATAACTGAAACTGCAGAAAGCAAAACCGTGGATAAAGGGGGAATACTGTAATTTAAAATAAAATGCAAGCTTTCTGCTTAGGAAGTGTGAGCAGGATATTCCTGCCCTTTATAGGTGACGTGAGTGCGTGTTCTTTACAATACTGCTGTAAGAGTACGTGGAACTTAATTTTCACTTCCTAAATATCCTTTCTCCTGTCCTACAAATTACAACCAGAGCCACTAAAAGAAGTAATACAATTGGAGAGGTATAATCTATAGTAATCAGTGTCAACAGAAGCAGTGAGAAAAAATAATAATAATCTACAGTAATACAGTTAGCTCTTGCCAGGAAATGAATCAGAAGGTATTTATATTTCTATGGTTTTGGAAAACAAATTCGCTCATTAGAGAAAGTAAAGTCATTATTCACACTGTCCTCAAACAAAATGAAGTTTCACTTGATTCTTACTTGTTTTTTAATGTATTTCCATAAACTCTCATGTTTCATATTTTTTTGTTGCTAATATATTACTGATTTTTTCCTCTTAGAAATAAGAAAGTATTGCTCTGTGATGTAGGGGTGGAGGGGGAGATATTTTCATACCTCAGCCCCACCTCCACACCTACCTTGGTGCAAGCCTAGGGAGTTAGCCAGGTCTGGAGAAGCTATTAATCATGTTAATATCATTTTGGGACAATTTCACCATGGAAAAAGATATACCTCAGCCCTAAAGAAAGATTAATGTAACATAAGAAATTTAATATTAGCATAACAAATATGTATTCAAATTCTCTTTGTCCTGCATTATTGAGCCTCGTATCTGTGTTACTGCTCTAAATGACACAGCAGTCAACCTGCTATTCCCTCTAGCACCCAAACCTCTCTGTCATATGCTCTGGTGGGATTTTTCTGATATAATACAATTGTAATACTGAAAGTAAAAAATTACCTTTGCTTTCTCCCTCCCTCTCCTTGACCTTAGCCAAAAGAATTCCTAAATAGTTCTGTTCTGCACAAATCCAACCCTATGATTACTTCTTATCTGGCTAACAAATACAGTTATAAGCCATGGAGATGGTGTCAATAAATAATTGCAAAGGAAAGCAGAATTACCTCCTCTCATAATCACATTCATGAAATTTTATACTTTGTCCTACTAAGCCATAAACCAAATAACTAAGAGGTTGTCACATTAATTGTTCTATATGAAACTATTAAAATTCCAAACTTAATATTCTTACTTTATATGAGAAAAAACAAAAAATGTGCAAAGAAGTAGAAAGAGTGAGAAATAAAATGCTCAATTGAATAGTACATCAAAATCATTCATAGAACACTACATCCATACAGGTAGCAGAAGGCAGTGAAACAATTTTTAAATGAAGAGTATATAAAGCTCATTTGTCTAATATAAAAAGAGTTCATGGTTTCTCAAATAAGTTTATAAATGTCTGTCACAGAAGTGACTGGATGTTGTTTCCCAAATGAATTTGCTACCACTGCTGTGATTACACAGTGATTTTTTTTGAAGTAGGCTGCAGTTCTTATTATGCCAATTCATTATGAATGAAAGGATAAGAAAACCATTACCATCGTGAGTTTACCAAATAACAAAGCAGCAGGTAAAAATAATCTCTCCACCTGTCATTTCCATATCGGTCCTAACAGCATTGTCTAGCTTTTCAAGCTGCTTGACAAACAAACAATATTGCAACTTCTCATTGAGGCAGACAAGACAGTATTTAGAATGAATGCATTTTCTAACCCTCACAGCAATACACTCAGAAAATCATTAGATTCCAAAGTCGTATTGTATTTTGTAATGATTTCAAGGTTATCGAAATTTTGTAAGACCTGGAGAAATGTTTTCAACCAATTATACGCTTGCAAATAATGTTAAATAATAGTTTCACATTAAAATTTTTGAGTTTATAGAAATATGACTATTTAGAAACCTGTACATGCTTTCCCCTTTCTAAACTAAACAAGTGTGGGTTTTCTGGAAGTTTTTCTATAACTTCAAAACATAAAATCTCTGCCCATGAAAACCATCCTTTAATATCATCAGAGGAATCAATGAACTACAACAGATACTGTTGCATTGACAAGCTCAAATTAACTGCAGATTCTTATTTGTAAAAAGAGATGAGACTTATACAAGTACAAAATGACATCAATTTTATTGACTAAAACATTCCATCCCCCAGTTTACTAGCTCTCTTATTTAGTGCATACCACAAGAAAGCTCTGGGTCTTTGAAGATTTCATTACACCACCATAACCCATGTTTTCTATTTGTTTTTCAAGAGAATTCTAATTAGCATATAAATCATCTGAAATCCTTCGTAGCTCCAATTTAACTCATGGGTAATGAGGTAAGGTATTCAGTGCCTGAATATGCTGCAATAGTTCTGTACAATCTTCATAGGGTGAGAGAAAAGTACCGAAAGAGACATCAAAATTCTTTCAGGAAAAACTACATAGACCCATATTTTTAAAGAATTCAACTTGGCTTCTTTTTCCCAAATCCTTGGATTATGAAACTTCAGCTAGTCACTCAACAAGGGAAGATGTAATTCAAATTAGTTTCAAAAAGTTGCATTCTTATTATCCAAATTTTATATCCAGATAAACTTACGATCTAAGTGAAAGGACCATTCTGAGTATGTCCTCAAAAAAACACACACTATATCAGTTGTGCAGGCGGAAATGACATATTTAGAAACTACAGGCCCATATCCCATTTCCATAGACATTTGGCTCTGAAATATTGTGGCTTTACATATACAGAGAGTGGATTTCATATATTCTTCCTTTGTTTTCCATAGCTCTTTGATATATAGCTTTCAAGTTTTCCTCTTCAAAGAATGGTTTTATAGAAAACAGTGTGGAGTATTAATTTTACAGTCTATCTCTACAATGTCACGTATTTCTAACTGGACCAATGAATCAAAATATGCCTTCCATCCACAATCTTCTTATTGACATTCTACAACCACCGAAATAAGGTGGTTTGTACTAAGGACACTGCTTAAGAAAAGTCCCTTAAACTGAGACAAGAACAGTTAGCCTAGCCCTTTAACCCTCTTTCTTTCTTTTTTTTCTTTTTCTTTCTTTCTTTCTTTTTCTTTCTTTCTTTTCTTTCTCTCTCTCTCTCTCTCTCTCTCTCTCTCTCTCTCTCTCTCTCTCTCTTTCTCTCTCTTTTTCTTTTTCCCTCTCAGGCTGGAGTGCGGTGGTACAATCCCGGCTCACTGCAACCTCTGCTCCCTGGGTTCAATCGATTTTCCTGCCTCAGCCTCCCAAGTAGCTGGGATTACAGGTGCCTGCCACCAAGCCCAGCTAATTTTTTATTTTTAGTAGAGACAGGGTTTCACCATATCAGCCAGGCTGGTTTCGAACTCCTGACTTCAGGGGATCCACCCGCCTCAGCCTCCCAAAGTGCTGGGATTACAGTCATAAGCCACCACACATGGCCCCTTTCACCCTTTTCTATAAGTTTCTGAAACTGTGAATGTGACTTGAGGTTGTTATTAACCTCTTTCCATTAACGCTTCTAATCTCCATGAACTCAAATCTCGGATATCATTCCATAGAAATCAGAACTTTGCCTCAGACCTCTACTTTGCATGTTGGAAATTTTTAAGTTGATAAAACAACAACAGAAAACCTGAGACAAAACGTAAAGATCTAGTGGTTAGTTCCTTCAGTGAGAATTCTTTCTACCATTTAGATAAGGACAATTTAATTTAAATAAATAAAGAAATAAAAATAAAGGTTTTGAATTTTAGAGCTGGAAGGGAATTTTCTTATTTGTTTCTTGCTAATTTTATAAATGACAAAAATTAAGGCCCAGGGAGTTGAAACAATACCTCCAATGTCACCAAAAAAGGTTAAAGAAATAAGTGGTATATAATCCAGGTCCTTTGTCACCTTGTTAACTACTACTCGGACCCTATTCAATGACCAAGATGTGGCCATTAACATCTTTACATAACATTGTGAAGAAGAAAATCATTTTAGAGCAGCAACTTGTACTTGAGGCATTAGGGAAATTTCTTGAGTAAAAAGAGGAAAATGCAGGTGAGGTCCCTTTATTAATGGAAAGTTTTAAAAAACAAATAAAGTGACTAGCAGTCTAGCTAATCAGCCTTTCTTTTTCTATAGTCATCAGCTTAATTTTATGCTAAACTATGACTCTTAGACTACCAACAGAAAACCGACTACACAGTGAATTTCTTTATTCATTTATTATTTTAGGATGTTCCCAAATGGCCATGATTTGAAAGAAGATCCCTTCTGATGATTTTCTTCGTAATCTTTTATTTTTAAGGAGAAATAATTTAAAATTGTTCTTTGTACAGCTTTTTGCCTAAAATGAATTTCCTCTGATATACAAAAATACAACAAAATGAATACTTACAATTAGAAAAGTATCTTTATTCTTATTAGTCTAATAAGAAGAGTAGAATAAAAATGTTTTATCATCACTGCTGTGTATTAGAACTGGAAAGATTTGGGGTTCATCAGATGGAACACTTGATTGGTTTCTACAGAATTCAATAGGAAGCCTGCATCCAGCTTCGAGTGTGCTATGACACTCATGTCACCTTGATTGTACAGTCACCATGGCAATAGTTTCATTAGCTATGCAGTAGCCTCTTTGTACTCAACTTGAATTTGTTCTGCATTATGCCACCTTTTATCAAAGCTGAACATTAGATAAATGAGTCCAAATTTTCAATCCTGATTCTAATGTTGGCAAGCCTAAAATGTTCCAAATTAGTTAGTAATTTAAAAACTCAACAAAAAATTAGCCGGGCGTAGTGGCGGGCGCCTGTAGTCCCAGCTACTTGGGAGGCTGAGGCAGGAGAATGGCGTGAACCCGGGAGGCGGAGCTTGCAGTGAGCCGAGATCGCGCCACTGCACTCCAGCCTGGGCGACAGAGCGAGACTCCGCCTCAAAAAAAAAAAAAAAAAAAACTCAATAATCTTCAAAGTAGGAATACTTGAAGATAAGTTGATTGGTTTATTGTTGAAGTTAAGGTACCATCAGAAACATGAGTAAAATCTGAAACATTTGTAAATCTTGCTTTTTTTCCATTGTATTCAAATATCTTCATTGTTGGTAACAATATCTAGAAGTATTTCCAATTCTTATTTGTATTACAGGGCTATTTATGTTATTAAATATATTTTTAAAATATTATGTGTAATTATTTTGTTCAGATTTGTGGATATTGGGATATTAATTGTACCCAAGTAAAATCTCTGATGCCTTTCTTCAGGATCATACATCTAAACTGTATCAGAGAGAAAGCACAGACTCTCAAAGTTTCTAATATACCCTTTATACTTTGTTGGTTTATTTACCTAAGAGATATTTTTTCCAGTTTTATAATTTCCTGGATAATTCAGTGAGGCATTTTGACTGGGGAGAATTAAATGTCTGTACTTAAATAACTATGTTACCAAAAAACAAAATTCATATAGTGCATATGTATACATAAAAGAAAGTAACAAGTTAGTAATTGTGAATTTTTGCTGTAGATTAATGGTTGGTATCTGTGTAGATATGGTTCAAAATATAGCTTACATATAAATAACTGAAAAGCTTCTAGTCTTGTCAACACCTGTACATTAACAGGAATATCAGTTTACAGAGTTCATACCTACTTAGTTTCAGAAAGATTAACCCTTAAGCAGAATAGTGAGCAAACTTACTCCATGGATATCAACATTCTACAGCAATGGGAATAAAATAAATCATCACTCCAAGTTATGTGTGGCCTGTATTCTTATATTTTTCCTGGGCACGGGAGTTACATATCATGTTTTCATTTCTGAAAGAGATTCACAACAAAATTATTATACCACACTCTAGCATAAAAAACAGGGGATTCTAACTTGTAAGAATTTGTGTCATCCTAGGATGCATTAAATATTACGGAGCTTAAGCAGCATCTCAAAAGTTTACTATTTTTCTCTGAAAAAAATTATAAATGGTAATACTAAAACTAATGGTTGCAATTGCAATAATGACTCTCACTTTTGTAGTGATGATGTTTACCAGACTCTGTACTAAGCCCTTTACATGTATTAATTCATTTGACCTTTACATTCTATTATTACTTCCATTTTACAGATATGGTAACTGAAGTACAAATCGATTAATTGTCTTACCCAAGGCCACATATATGACATGTGGTAAAATCAGTCTTCAAAGACTGTTAGAATGCCTCTAGAATTCAAGCTCTAGAAATGGAAGCATATTTGTTTTTGATGGGTTAAATTTAAAAAAAAAACTGTACAAAAAAGCAAAAATAAATACCTATTATTTCAGCTCCAGAAATGATAATATAGAACAAAAGCTTATTTATGTTCCTACCATATAATATGTAAAAAGGAATTCAACTCGTTCCCTTGCCTGAGTAACCTACATTCTCATAGTCCAGCAGCTTTGAACATAGTTAAGTCCATTATTAAGGTGATTCAGATGTAGGAAAAAATCACACATTGTAGAATTTTTAACCTTTAAAAAACATGTTTAAGTAGACTAGAAACACTGATGAATCTCAGATGATATTCAACTAACACTGCTATATGAAACAACAAGAATATCTGAGTTCTGGTACTGATTTGTAATATTTTAAACCGTGTAACCTATACCGATAAGGAACTCATTTTCTTCATTTACAAAACAGTGGGGTTGAACAAGATGATCTCTAATGCCCTTATAACCAAACGTGAATTTATCACAGCTTTGTGAAATGACAAATCCTTAAAAATAGGTGTGCTAGTGGTCAAGACGCTGAAGCCATTAGAGAATTATTGGCAGAATAAAGACAGAGTTGTGGCCTTACCAGGGTGGCATAAGGCCTGAGTCCACTCAAAGTTCCAAGTTATTAATTTACCAAGAAAAGCAACCTCATTAATGTAACACCATCTGTTCAGTGCTGCTTTGTTTCTGGTTTGTGCTTTGTGGTCTTCACATAGAGCTTCTTGTTCTGACTTGTCCCTTTACCTTTGGATTTGAACTTTACCCCTTTCGATCCCTTGTGAAATGACTCTGACCAGAAGCGATCCCAACTCCTGCATCATTATTTGGCCTGAAGGAATCACTTAGCTTTACACACAGGCACAGCTTCCTTGCTACTGGATCAATAACCTAATTTCAATATCTTCTCTCTGGTATTCCGGGATTAGAAATACTACTGCTTGTTTGGGCGGATTTATTTGGCTTTCTTCTAATACAACTATTTATATTTTCATGTACAGCCATTTCAATGACTGTCTTTCCATCATGCTTGTTTAATGTGATTGCATTGTAATTATAACAGTTGGAATAAAATGAGTTGAACAAAAAAGACTAGTATAATCTGAAGAGACTTATATCCATAAATTCTTTGTCAAAAATATTAAAGAAAGTAAACTCCCCTACTATTTTTTTTCATTTAGGTAATCCCCACATATGTTCCCTTCTCTCGGACCCTTTCATGGGATCTCTGATATCAAGACTGTTTTTATAATGATATCAAAAAATGAATTGCCTTCTTAAATATGTTTCCATTTGCACTGATGATGCAAAATAATAGTAGGTAAAACTGTTGGAGCTTCAGCAACATCCAGGTTGAAGCAGGGCATTAAGCTGTTGTAGTAATCATTTATTCTTCATGTCCACACACAGAAAAAAAGAAAAAAGTCAATTTCACTCAAGAATATCGATGGTGATATTCATCAGTAAGATATTAGTGTTTTATTAAGTCTCAACACTTAAGCACACATCTTTTTAATATTCAGTGTGATAAAATGGGAAGCAGGTATAAAGCATTCCTGCTGCATCTGATGTTCAAGTATGATGATTGTCTCCAGAAAAACACTCAGATAACACTAAGTTGCAAACTGAAACTGCCACTTTTCCATAGAAAAATATTTTTACTTGCAAAAAACCACTCACCAATACAAACTGTGGTTATTCAAATTGCATATCTAGCAGACATTTTCTTGAAAAGAAAGTAAGCCTGACACTCATATCAGTCACCTGAGTTTGACAGCTTCCCAATACTTAAAAGACCCTTCTGATGAGATGGATAGTGATTTAAAAGATGTGGCTTAAAAATGATACATTATATAATAAAATGTGTCAACAATTAGAAGATGCATAGCTCCATGGACCAATACTTTCCAAATGTTTAATGCATGATGTTACAAAATCATCCAGAAGTAAAAAGAGCCATTCAAAGTGCAAGATGAACCGATAGATTTTAACGTAACAAAATACAACAATATCATTGATGTGCTTTCTTATTTCACATTACAACAAATCTTCAAGAAACTACATGTGCAGAATTGTGAAGTAGTATCAAATAACAATATCCAGAGTTAATCTAAAAGTCTATAGAAATATTTTTCCTTTAGTTTCATACCTCTGTGAAGGCAAATTTTCTTCATATATTTTAACCAAAACAACATATTTCAACAGATTGAATACAGAAACAGATATGAGAATTCTACTAACTTCTATCAAGCTTTATATTAAAGAGATTTTTCACACATGCAAAGCAATGTCACTGTTCTCACTATTTTTTGTTTTGGAAATACAGTTATTTTCATTGAAAGCATGTTATTTACAGTAACATTTAATAGATTTTTCATTAATTTTACTTGAATTAATAAAGTGCTCCGTTTAAATTTCTGATTACTTATTTTTTAAAGTACTTAGATTATGTTTCTGAGTGTTTACTGATAGATATTACCCACATGACTGAGAGTTCTTTGGGATCCTCGTTCATTTTCTTTAAGAATGTAAAGATTCCTGAGATTTAAAACAGAATAATGTTTTGGAACCTCAGTCCTCACTATTCCTATCCCTTACAACCTCACCTCCTAATGCCTTTCTTCCCCAATTGTCAAGACTTGGTGATCCAAGTATTCCAAATAGATTTCCACTGCAGGACCTTTGCACTTGCTGTTCTGTCTTTATAGAGTCTCCTACTTGCAGATAGTCCTATATCTGCCCGGCTCATGACTCCTCTCATGCAAAGCTCTGCTTAAATACCTCCTCATCCAAAAGGCTTTTACTAACTACCACTTTTAAAACAGAACCTCCCACTCCATGACTCTCTACTCCTTACCTAGTATTATTTGAGGTCATGTACTAATCCCATCCAGAAATTTTATTATATTGTTATTTATCTATTGTCTGTCTTTCCCACTAGAATGTAAGCACCATCAGAGCAATCTGCTTTACTTTTTCACTGCTTCCTACCTGGAATATAATTTGTGCTCTATCAATAGTAATTTAAACAATGTAAAAATATGGTGTCTATATTTATTTAATTTGAAGGACGATTATGCTAAATAGGTTTCTCTTAAACGAGAAAGTCTGGAAATCTATATTTAAATATGAGAGTGGCAACTATAGAATGCTCCCTCCCAAAAGGGCTTGTGTCTGTCACAAGAAACAGCAAAACTTGGAGCACAATGAACCTTCCTAGGTTGCAGAAAAGTTTCTAAGTCAAGTCTTGACTTTCTCACTACTAAAACAGTGGTTACTCATGCTTACTGGGGCCAATAATAACGGATTGAAAATAATACATTTCTATACTATAGCATGGTATATAGTACAAAAAAAAAAGAAAAACTTTAAACCTTCAAGTTAGGTAGAAGCAGGTATGTATTCTAGGTCTGACTCACTTCTTTGTAACCTTGAGAGGAATGCTTAACCTTACAGGGAAATATGCTTTAATTGATACGCAGTTTCAAATATCCATTAGAAGTTTGTAGTCATGAAAGCAAAGTACTCCTACTTAGCTCAGATATATACTTTTACTTTAGTGACAGTGATACAAACGAAGAAAATCACTTTCTTTTATTGGTCCAATTTTGCATTTCTGAAAAACTTCCTATTGACTATTTTCATTATTTTCTTAATGTATGAATGAGTTTTATTTTCTAATATGTCTTTGAACACTTTCTGTCAATGGTAAATAACTATGTAATATTGGATTATAGGTTTTTGTTTTCTCTTAATCATTTTAACCACAGCCTGGCATAAATTAGGTGCTATTGGAATTTCAAAGCATTTTTTTCTGTTTAAAGTTGATTTTACCTTCCCAGTTTATATTTCTAGGAGGGATGGATATCTTGGTCTTTGTGTTAAAATTTAAACAGTTTTAAAGTTCAGAATGGAAATACATAAGACTATGTAAGTCAAAAAATATAAAGGATAGAGCTTCCCTCTGATTAATTCCTTACTAACTGGCATGTTTGTTCTTTATGTGTAGGAGTAATTGCTGTCACTGGAGGATTTTTTCTTCTTAAGAGGGAAAGATACAACTTCAAGTTGGTGGATGGAAGATCTATGAATAATGCCAAACACATCTGCACCTTCTTTCTTCCATGGTAGTTTCAATAGGCATGAAGAAAAACAGCAAAACAGCACTTCCTTCCTGAGTTTGTAAAATTCCCTACCTCCTATCTATTGCTCAATACGGCTCAGTCCCACAGTCTATGAGTCACAACCACTGAGTAGGGAAAATGATTGAAATAATTATTTAAAAATAATTCTTCCATTCAGCCAGCTAAGATCTTACTTTAAAATGCTAATGGCACCAAGAAAAAAAGTAATATGACCTACTTTTTAATATATCTATACTATTGTTAGCAGGCAAGAATAAAATCACCCTCTTTCAAGGAAAAGTAACCAATAAAAACCATAAGAACATGGGAACTATAAAATATTCTGCAGTATACACTAATAACAGTATGTTAGAACTGAAATATTAGTTTACTTAAACTTGTCAAGATATAATCAGGAATAATGAAGTAATGACTCCCAAAGATTCTTTCCTCCAAAAATACAATGAGAAGACTCATAAAAATTCTCCAAATCAACTTTTTCAAAACTCTAGAAATTAACCAAAAGCTCGTACCCATATTTGGAGCATTTCTTCAAGAAAAGAGACTAAATCTTGGAAAGAACAGATAACTTTGTGATATTTTAAATTATGCTCTTCCCATTCCCTCTTCCCAGTCTGTGGTAGCCTGGAAAATCCACAGCCATCAATTTTTGTGAAAACCAGTAGCCTAGTAGCCGCTAAGGGTCAGAACAGGGCTGATGCTCTTTCAAATCCCTATTCTCAAACAATTTCAATAATTTTACCTGTCTGGCAGGTACATAAAAACCTACTCACAAGTCTTGTCTTTATTTTACCTCACTCAGAGTTCACCAACTGGAAACAGTCTGTTCCCCAAGAGCATTTGCTGAAAATGCTCAGTGGCAATTGTTTAACATTGCCTTACACAGTGAAAAAAGTTGGGACAAAAAACAAATAAACCAAAAAAACAAAATTGTAAAAAGGAAGATCTGGAAAATGAGATGTTCATTGGAGGATTTGAAAAGTTCTTAAATATTCTTGAAAATCCAGAAGGCCACACGCTATGTACGGCTGTGTAAACACTCAGAAAAGACCTGAGAAGACCCTCAGTTCTTGCCTCTGAACTTGAAGTTCTGCACAAGGAGGAAGTGATGGGAAAGACATAATTATAAATTGCCTGGCTGAATGTTAACAGCATTCTGTAACACTCACAGAAAGCCCTTCACCAAGATTAGGAGAAAACGTTTCTAGAGATTTAAGGAAATCTGTCTTGTCACTAGCTCACAAGTAAGCTAATTGAGCAGAGACTTAAGAGGTGATACATGACAAGGAATATGACATTAAAGAATTAGTTCAAGATAGTCTTTAACAAAAAAGTGGGAATAGTAACAACAAACACCTAAGACAAACCCTAGGGAAGGGAGAAAAATCTGATTTCCAGAGTTCTCAAATTGCATTATAAAGATGTGCAGTTTTCAAAAAACAAATTAGTAGACATTCAAAGAAACAATAGAGTATGGCCCATATGAAAGTAATAAAAAATCACTCCATAGAAACTGCCCTGAAGAAATCCCATCATTAAACATACTAAACAAATACTTTAAATCAACTATTTAAAACATGTTCAAAGAACTAAAACAAACCATGTATAAAACACTAAAACGACCCATAGAAATAAGGTCTCAACAAATAAAGAACATCAATAAGAAGATATAAATTATTAAAATGAATAATTTTGGAGTGAAAAAGTTACCAAATTGGCTCAACAGCATATTTTAAGAGGCAAAAGAACCAACAAACTTACAAAGTAGTCAGTCTAAGGAAAAAAGGAAAAAGATTGGAGAAAAGTGAACAGAGCCTTACAGACCTGTGAGATACCATCAAGCTCACCTAATAAGCGTAATGAGAGTCCCAGAAGCAGAAGAGAGATAGAAAGAGGCAGAAAGAATATTTGAAGAAATAATTGTAGAAAAATTCTCATATTTCTGAAACACATGAATCTCTATATCCAAGAAGCTCAAAAAACCTTAAAGTGGGAGAATAAACTCAAGAAATCCACACTGAGATAAATTATAATCAAACTGTTGAAAGCCAAAGACAATGGGAGAATTTTGAAAACAGTAAAAGAAAAGTGACTCATTATATTCCAAGGTCCTCAGCAAGATTAACAATTAATTTTTTATCATAAACCACTGGGACAGAAGGAAGTGATATGCTATATTCAAAGGTCAACCAATTATTCTATATTTAGCAGAAGTATGTACATTTCAAGATTTACATATACTGAGAAAATTTGTTAAGAGCAGATTTCCCTATAAGAAATCTTCCAGAGAGTCCTTTGAAGTGCAACGGAAGTACACTAGACAATAACTCAAATTCACATAAAGCAATAAAGAGCATTGGTAAAGGTAAATACAGAACATAGGTAAATACAAAAGATATTATAACTGTATATTTTGTTTGCAACAATTTTTTCTCCTATCTGACTTAAAAGAGAGTTGAACAAAACAATCGTCATAAATTTGAATTGATTTTAATACAATGCATAAATACATAATTTGCATAACAATAAAGCACAGAGGAAGAGGAGGAAATACAAGCATACAGGAGCAAAATCTGTAAATGTTACTGAAATTAAGTTGGTATTAATCCAAACTAGATTATTATAAGTAAAAATTTGAATTGTAATTCCCAGGGCACCACTAAGAAAATAACTCAAAAATATTATAAAATATAACAAGATAATTAAAATGGCAAACTAGAAATATGAATTTAACACAAAAGAAAGAATTTGGAAAGAATACAGAAACCAAAACAACATAAGAAATACAAAGAAGAAGTAGCAAAATGAGTGGCATAAGTCCTATCAGTAATTACATTAAATGTAAATGGGTTAAACACTCAAATCAAAAGGTTGAGATTAGCAAAATGGATAAAATAAACACAATGGTCTCATATACTGTATATAGAGATAAACTGGATTCAAAGTCACAAATAACTTGAAAGTAAAAGAATGAGGAAAAAAAATAAAATATGCAAAAAGTAAGCATAAAAGGCCTGAAGTTGATGTACTAATACCAAATCAATGCACTTTAAATCAAAAAGTCATTGATTTACAAAAACAAAGGACCGTATACATTGATAAAAGCGTCAATTCTTCAAGAAAATACAACAATTTTTAACATGTACATCCACTAAAAACAGAGCTTCAAAATACATGAATCAAATACTAAAAAACTGAAGGAAGAAATAGACGACTCAAAAATAATAGTTGGAAATTTCAATACCCTACCTTGAATAATGGGCAGAACAACTAGAGAGGAAAACAACAAGGAAATAGAAAACTTGAGCAACACCATAACTAGACCCACTAGACGTAATAGGATCTACATAATACTTCCTCCAATACCAGAATATACATTATTTGTAATTGCACGTAGAACAGAATAGATCATATGTTAGACCATAAAATATGTTATTCTCAATAAATTAAAAAGGATTAAAATTATATAATGTACATTCTCTAAACATAACTGAATGAAATTTTAAATTCATAAAACATGGAAATTTGAGACATTCACAAATAAATGGAAATTAAGCAACACTGCTAAATAATCAATAAGCCAAAGAATAAATTAAAAGATAATTTAGAAAATATTTTGAAATTAATAAATGCAAGATATCAAACTTACAGAATTCATCTAAAATTGCGCATAGAAGAAAATTTGTATGTAAATACCTGTACTAAAAAAAAAAGGTGAAAGATCTCAAATCAATAACTTAACCTTTCACCTTCGGAAACTAGAAGCATGAAGAATAGCTTAAGCCCAAAGCAGGCATAAAAAGGAGATAATAAAGATTAGAGTGTAGATAAAGTAAGTAGAATATTTAAAAAATAGACAAAAATCAATAAAACAAAAATTAATTTATTTGTATTCATCAACAAAATCAGCAAATTTAGCTAAACCTATGAAAGAAAAGGAGGGAACTCAAAATATTGAAATCAGGAATGAATAAGCAGTATTACTTCTGACCTTACATAAATAAAAGGGATTATAAGTGAATACTATTAAACAATTATTTTCCAAGTAAATAGTAAATGTAGATGAAATTAATATATTCCTAAAAACAAACTACTGAAAATGACCCAAGAATAAATGGAAGTTATGAATAGACATAACAAGAAAAAAAATTAGTTACTAATCAAAAAAAAAAAAAAAAAAACCATCCCGGAAAGAGCATCCCAGAACCAAATGGTGAATACTACTAAATTTTTAAAGAGGAATTAACCCAAACCCCAACCTTTCAAAAAATAGAATTAGTCCTCACACATTCTGAGGCCTGCATTACCCTGATACCAAAAAAAAAAAGATCCCTAGAAAACTACAGACCAATATATCTCATTAATATAAAAGCAAAAATCCTTGACAAATACTAGCAAAACATTTCTCACAACATAGAATAAAGGATTATACAACATGAACAAATTTATAAGGAATATGATTACTGCTAAAAGTTCATCTTTAAAAACTTAGCTCCATAATTACAGTCACTTGCCAATATAAAATTTCTTTCATTTACATGCTCAGCTCAAAGTAAGTTTCTCAGTAATTATTTTTCTTATTTCATGTCTCTAAGATAGAATTGATTTGATAAGTAGATAAGATCTTAAAGGTAAGTTTTAAAGTGGTATTGATATAAAGACTGACAGGTTTAACGTACCCAAAATGCACATGTAGCATTAAAATTTTATATCACTCAAACTTTTTCTTTGAGAAAGAAAGCTGATGATAACTAATACTGAAAATGGTGAGACATTCTGTTTGTTCTATTTCACTTAAATACATTCTGATTTATGAAAAGTGAAGAAAGTAAAGAGTTTTCATGTCTTTCATCTTAAGTAGGGCAGCCTTTCTAGTTTCTTTAATTGCACTAAGAACTAAAGATAAATGTTCACAAAATCAACATGACTGATTTGCTTTTTCACGAAGAGACAGCTTATTTAGTGCCTGGAAGCAATTTTTGTGTAATACAGTGGAGATGCCATTTCTTCAAATGAGTTCTTTAATGAGTCTTTGTCTCTCAATTTAATAGTACTTTTTACTTTATTTTCCAAGATGTTCTTGTGTCTTTTGTGCAAAATGCTACAAACACCATGTCTACCAGGAGAAATTCTAAGATGGCCACCTTCAATAATAAAAGAGGGTACCTCCATTTTAAAATATTATTCATTAAAAAACTGCCTTTTCAGTATTCAAAGAACACTCAATTTGTTTTCAAGGATAAGACTTAATCTATTGAGTATATTATTTATTGACTTTTGTAATTTCACTCAATGTTCCTAAAACCTATGAAAGCAATAGCTTTTCATTTTTTCCCAGACAAGTGAGTACAGATTGTTTATAAAGTTTAACCGTACTTTAAACTCATTTTACTTTTAGGTAACTACAGATTGTTAAATACAGTTGACTTAAAGAGATATTGATATTCAAATACCTGAAAGGAAGCATAATCATAGGTCAGGGGATGTGTCTCATACTATTAAGATGGGGGAAGGTGCCACAGGAAACAGAGGCTGTGAGAATAATATACTTCATTGAAAAATTGCTCCTGGCAGTTTTCAATAAAACCAATTCAGAAAGTAATGCTTCATGTTGATGTCTGAAGTGCAAATGAAATCTGGTTTCATTTATTTATATTAAGTAGTCATTTCCCTGTATTGCACTTAATTGAGCTATTGTTCTCTTCATTAAGTATGCCTCTTGAATTTTTCCATTTTGAAAAATGCTGTTGTTTCAGTCACAGTAAATGTGAGATGGAGAAATCAAGTATCATTTTCAGGGAATTCGAGATACATGAATGTTTGTTGATGCTTTATGCTTAAGAAAATAAGGAGAAACGGCCAGGCATGGTGGCTCACACCTGTAATCCCCGCACTTTGGAAGGCCAAGGTGGGCGGATCATCTGAGGTCAGGAGTTCAAGACCAGCCTGGCCAACGTGGTGAAACCCTGTCTCTAATAAAAATACAAAAATTAGCCAGGTGTGGTGGTGGGTGCCTGTAATCCCAGCTACTTGGGAGGCTGAGGCAGGAGAATCTCTTGAACCTGGAGGCAGAGGTTGCTGTGAGCTGAGATCACACCATTGCACTCTAGCCTGGGCAACAAGAGTGAAACTCCATCTTAAAAAAAAGAAAATAAGGAGAAATACTAAATATTAATAATTTGTATTTGTAGAACACCCTTAAATTTCTCCCAAGTTCTCCATATTAAAAGCGTAATCAGTTTATTAGAGAATCTTGACTCTTAAAGGCATAAGGCTTCATTACTTCACATGTCATTTTCATCCCCATCCTAATCATCTCCTGCTCGGTGGAAGGTCCCATGACAACGTAAGGCATTGTTCTTTGAGAATTTTCTTCTACTTGTTAGTTTTCGGTTACTAGGTTCTCTTTCCCAACATGCAACCAAGTCTTACAAAATTCTACCGATTTGTTTAAGTTCCTTATAGATGCTGGACATTAGACTTTTGTCAGATGCATGGTTTACAAATATTTACTCCCATTTTGTAGGTTGTCTGTTTACCCTATTAATAGTTTCTTTTGCTGTGCAGAAGCTCTTTAGTTTAATTAGATCCCATTTGTCAATTTTCATTTCTGTTGCAATTGCTTTTGACATCTTTGGCATGAAATCTTTGCTAGTTCCTATGTCCAGAACGGTATTTACTAGGTTATCTTCCAGAGTTTTTATAGTTTGGGGGTTTATGTTTATGTCTTTAATCCATCTTGAGTTGAATTTTGTATATGGTGCAAGGAAAAGGTTAATTTTCCATCTTCTGCATATGACTAGCCAATTATCCCAGCACCTCTTATTGAATAGGGAGTCCTTTCCCCATTGTTTGTTTTTGTCAGCATTGTCAAAGATCAGATGGAGGTGTGCAGCATTATTTCTAGGCTTTCTATTCTATTCCACCGGTCTATGTGTCTGTTTTTGTACCAGTACCGTGATGTTTTGGTAGCCCTGCAGTATAGTTTGAAGTCGGGTAATGTGATGCATCCAGCTTTGTTCTTTTTGCTTAGGATTGCCTTGGCTGTTCGGTCTCTTTTTTGGTTCCACACGAATTTTAAAATAATTTTTTCTAGTTCTTTTTTTTTCAGTATCCAGAACTGTGAGATGTTTTTCCTAGTTCTGAGAAGAATGTCATTGGTAATTTCATAGGAATAGCATTGAATGTATAAATTGCTTTGGGCAGTAGGGCCAATTTAATGATACTGATTCTTCCCATCCATGAACATGAAATGTTTTTCCATTTGTTTGTGTCATCTCTGATTTCTTTGAGCAGAATTTTGTAATTCTCATTGCAGAGATCTTTTACGTTCCTGGTTAGCTGTATTCCTAAGTATTTCATTTGTTTTGTGGCAGACCCATTAAAAAGGGGGCAAAGGACGTGAAGAGATATTTTTCAAAAGAAGGCATGCATATGGCCAGCAAGTATACGGAAAAAAAGATCAATATCACTAATCATTAGATAAATGCAAATTGAAACCAAAATGAGATAACATCTCACAGTCAGAATGGCTGTTATCAAAACATCAAAAAAATAACAGATGCTGGCAAGGTTGCAGAGAAAAAAAATTACTTATACACTGTTGGTGGGAGTGTTAATTAGTTCAACCATGTTGGAAAGTGGTGTGGCTAAAAACGGAACTACCATTCAACCCAGCAATCTCATTCCTGGGTATATAACCAAAGCAGTATAAATCGTTCTACATAAAGACAAATGCATGCATATGTTCACAGCAACACTATTCACAATAGCAAACGTATGGAATCAACCTAAATACTCACGAATATCAGACTGGATAAAGAAAATGTGGTACATATACACACCGGAATACTATGCAGCCATGAAAAAGAATGAGATCATGTCCTTTGCAGCAATAAGGATGGAGCTGGAAGCCATTATTCTTGGGGAGCTAATATCTGGAAAACCAAATACTACATTTTCTTCCTGATAAATGGGAGATAAAAGATTGGAACACATGGACACAAAAAGGGGAACAGCAGACACTGGGGCCTATTAGAGGGTGGATACTTGGGGAAGGAAGAGGATCAGTAAAAATAACTAAGCTTAGTACCCGAGTGACATAATAATCTGTACACCAATCCCCTGAGTCATGAGTTTACCTATATAACAAATCTGCATATGTATCCATAAACCTAAAATAGAGTTAAAAAATAGAAAAAAATAAAATTCTAAAAATTCTAGCAAACCCTATTGTCCCCACCAAAAAAAAAAAAGTTAAAGAAATATTGGACAATCTTTATCAAGAGGCTAGGAAATGGAAAATTAAAATGTAATAGTAGAACTTATTGCTATTGTTATCCAGCAAGTTTTTTTTTCAAAGTTGTCAACTGTAATTACCATAGATTCCATGGAAAAACCATATCATTCTTGAATACTGCCAAAATTATATGCAAAGAGTAAGCCTCTTTCCCAAGTAAATAAGTAAGTGAAGATATTTTAACAGCTATAAAACTAACATCACTGTGGTCAGTCAGGGATCTTGGGGGAGACAAAACTTGCAAACCTTGGCTGACATATGTAGGGAAGTTGTTCATTTAAAAGCTATCCAACCCTGGCACCAGAGACCCCTCTCATATCACAGAATCATAGACAAATGACCTAGGCTCAGCCAACTGCATATCCAACAGTTTGAATTTTTGAGGAACAATGCAGTTACAAAGCCATTTGGAACTATTTACACTAGTCATGATAGAACGTAAAACCCTGCATCAATATTGAGCCCTCTCAGAGGAACAGTCAGTGGTGGGAGTTCTACTGGCTGCATCCTGAAGCTTCCCTTGGTTCTTAAGCATGATGAGCTAATCTTTCTGTGTATTATATGAGTACCAAATATGCTTTAAATACATTTCATTTCCATGTAAAATCTCAAAATTTGATTTATATTGATTTCCCACAATCAATGTCCCCCACTGATACAGTGGTGCTAGCATTCCAGGGTCAGACAGCTTTTTAACATCTCCATGTGCTTACAGACCAGGCATAAATTGTTTCATCTCCAATTCTTGGTGCTTTGAAATACATTTTGGCATGGTTGTTGCGGCACTAAAATTTGCTACAGAATGATGTGGCTCTTTCCTGTAATCTGTAATGTTTCCAGCAGAGTCTCTTCAAAAACTCCCATATTCATTATACCAATGAATACTGACATTCCTATCTATAAACTACTCCTTCTCAGGAGTTTTACAAATACAGTCCCCTTTGTCCATGACAGTACAAATACCAAGTGTAGTCTTACTGGAGTGAAAAGTTTTCTGATGCTTTAGTAAGCTTCTAATGTACTATGAACTAATCTAAGACCAGAAACAAATGCTTATTGTTTAGAAATTTAAAATTAGGTGTTTTTAGACTATTTCCAGAAGTGCGCCGAGGAGCAATAGAATGATTTCTATTGCTCAAAAATTTAGGTGGACTAATAGAAACTATTTTGATATTAGAAGTTTTAATAGCATGTTTATGTGATCTAGAATTAAAATCCCAAACCACTAAGATTCCTTCTACCCTAACACTATTAACATGTAGTAGAAAACATAATTATTATGGAGTCCTTAGGGTATTCAAGCAGTTTAATAATATCACATATATTCTTAAATAAATTCAGCATATTCCAAAGACCTGAGAAGAAATTGGGATGGTGATGTCCATGAGATGTTAAATCAGAGGATATCTTCTTTTTATTTTTATGCATACATAAAAGTTTTACATATTTATGAAATACATGTGGTATTTCGATGCAAGCATACAATGTGTCATGATAAAATCTGGGCTACTGGGATATCCATCACCTCAAACATGTATTTCTTGGCCTTAGGAACATTGCAAATATACTCCTGTAGTTATTTTGAAATATATAATAAATTATTATCTGTTATTGCCCTATTGTGCTACCAAACATTAGATCTTATTTCTTCCATCGAACCCTATTTTGGTACCCATTAACCAACCCTCTTTATCCCCACCTCACTACCCTTCTCAGCCTTCTCTGGTAACCATCATTCTACTCTCTACCTCCATAAAATCAAAATGTTAGCTCCCACATATGACTGAAAAAATACAACACGTGTCTCTCTGTTCTTGGCTTATTTCATTTAACACAATGTTCAACAGCATCCATGTTGCTGCAAATAACAGGATTTCATTCTTCTTTGTGGCTGAAAAATATTCCATTATGTATATGTACCACATTTGCTTTATCCATTCATTGATGGACATTTAGGTTGATTCCATACCTTGGCTATTGTGAATACAGTTGCAATAAACATGGGAGTGTAGATATGTCTTTGATATACTGATTTCCTTTCTTTTGAATATATACTCAGCAGTATGATACTAGCTGTGCATCTGCTGTATAAGGTCTTTATCATGCTGAGGTATGTTTCTTCTGTACCCAGTTTGTTGAGAGTTTTTATCATGAAGGGATGTTGAAAGAGTTTTTATCATGAAGGGATGTTGTTGAGGCCTCGCTCTGCCATTTTCTAGTGATATTACTCTGGGTTAGTCATATCATCTTTTACGATCTATTTCACCTGCTGCTTATAGCAAGCTCAAGTTTTTGCCTGAGGTTCAATGACACAGGGCATCTAAAAACACTTTGCAATCTCTGCCATACTATACAAATGCTAACTATGGTTATGTTCTGAAAGTGGTAAAAATAGATTTTATGTACAGTAAAGTATACCATTATGGTAATGGGGGAGATATTTTACTTATATTGGGCTCTTTCTCTCCCTCAAAATACTTTTTATCTTTTTCTTTCAATAAAAGAATTGTATAAAATAATGGTGAGATCGATGGGGAAATTCTTTTCAATGAAAAAATTAGGCTGGATTTGGAAAAGGTAAATATTTTAGCATTTAACACTAATCTCAATATATTTACTGGGAAATAAGCAATGTGAATGTTTAGTGCATTTTTTCATCCTCTGAACACTTATTCTTATGCCTCTACCACTGACTGCCATATTCAAAGTCCTGTGGTACCATAAAACATTTCCTTCTTATCCCCATCATAATAAAAATATCCACCTTTCTTTCTGATTAAACTAAGGAGCTTCTGCACAGCAGAAGAAACTATCAAAAGACAACCTACTGAATGGTAGAAAATTTTTACAAACTATGAATCTGACAAAGACCTAATATCCAGCCTCTATAAGGAACTTAAACAAATTTACAAGAAAAAATACAACCTCATTAAAAAGTGGACAAAGTTTATGAACAGACACTTTTAAAAGAAAACATACATGAAGCCAACAAGCATATGAAAAAAAGGTCGACATTACTGACCATTAGAGAAATGCAAATCAAAACCACAATGAGATACTGTCTCACCACCTCAGTCAGAATGGCTATATATCAAAATGTCAAAAAATAAAAGGTGCCGGTGAGGTTACAGAGGAAAGAGAACACTTATACTACTGGTGGGAGTGTAAATTAGTTCAATCATGGTGTAGTACAGTGCAGCAATTCCTCAAAGACCTAAAAACAGAACTACCATCTCACCTAGCAATTCCATTACTGGGTATATACCCAAAGGGATGTAAATTGTTCTACTATAAAGATATATGCACGTGTATATTCATTGTAGCACTATTCACAATAGCAAAGACATGGAATCAACTTAAATGCCCACTGATGATAAACTGGATAAAGTAAATTTGGCACATATATATCATGGAATAATATGCAGCCATGAAAAAGAATGAGATCATGTCCTTTGCAGGAACATGGATGGAGCTGGAGGCCGTTATCCTTAGCAAACTAACACAGGAACAAAAAACTAAATACCACATGCCCTCACTTATAAGTAAGAGCTTAATGATGAGAACTCTTGGACACAGAGAGGGAAACCACAGACACTGGGGCCCATTGGAGGATGGAGGGTGGGAGGAGGGAGAGGATCAGTAATAACAACCAACGGGTACTAGGCTTAATACTCCGACGATGAAATATTCTGTACAACAAATGCCCATGACACAAGTTTACATATATAACGAACCTACACATGTACCCCTGAACTTAAAATAAAAGTTAAAAACCAAAATCAAAATCTTCATCCTTGAGTGGTTTGTAGCAGTCATCTTGGTGAAAATTTAATATCTGATTTAATTAATTCCAGAGTCGAGGTATCCCAGGAAACATATTCTTGCCTTTTCTTTTCTTCTATTATTCCCGTCTCTTTTTTTCAGGAGTTTATTTAACTAAACCAATTACTCAAAACCATAAGAATTGTGAGGACGAACCCAATTTTTTGAGTGAGGAAAGAAGGAACATCCTAAACTAGGAAGCATACACCTATTCTCTAACTAGGAAACTTCACAATCCTTTAAAGAAGAATTCCTGGAGTAAACTACATTGCACAGTTGAAACTATCAGACAGGGATGTTAAAGTAATTGTATTTAATGTATTAAAGGTCTAGTGGTAAAGGTAAAAAAAATGGATGAATAGATGGGGTATTTCAACCAAAAGTAAGAAATTATTTTAAGAACAGCCAAATGGAAATATACCTAATATCACAATGTCAGAAATTAATAATTCCTTAGATGGAATTATCAGGGCATTACACACACCTAAAGAAACAATCATAGACCTAGAGGGCAGGCAATAGAAATTATCTGAGCTGGAACACAAACAGGGAAAACAAAGAAAGAAAACAAAAGGAGAATCCAAGATATGTGAAACAATACCACACAGTCTATCACATGTGCAACAGGTGACTCAAAAGGA
Source organism: Homo sapiens (assembly GCF_000001405.40). Taxonomy (NCBI): domain Eukaryota; kingdom Metazoa; phylum Chordata; class Mammalia; order Primates; family Hominidae; genus Homo; species Homo sapiens. The sequence goes on from NC_000008.11 coordinate 16,591,549, forward strand.
GAAAAGAGAGAGAGCGAGGCAAATAAATACTTGAAGGGATAATAGCCAAGAATGTTCTTCAGAAAATTAGTGAACAATGTTAAATCATAGATCTAAGAAGCTTACAGAACTTGAAAAATCAGATGAACTTTTTAAAAACGTAGATGAATCATGATTACATTGCTAAAAAAAAAAAAGAAAAAGAAAGAAAGAAAAAAGGAAGCTTTTGAAGGCAGCTAGGAAAAAAAAAAGAAATGTTATATGGAAATGAAAAAGACAGAAATGATATCAGACTCCTTTTTCAAAAATATGCAAGCCCAAACATAAAAGAAGGCTTTAAAGCACTAAAATAAAACCTGTCAACTCAAAATTCTATACCTGGCAAAAATATCATTCAAAAATGGTAGTGAGATAAAGGACTTTTCAGACAATAGTTTAAAGACCTCATTGCCATTTAAACTGCACTACCAGAAATGTTAGATTAAATACTATCTTTTTCATGCAGAAGGAATGTGGATCTACACAAAGGAATTAAGACTGCCAGTAATCGTTAAAATAAAGGTAGATGTAAATGTCCTTTTTTCCCAAAAAAATGTTAGTTTAAAAGAATTTGACTTTCTGAAGAGTAACTATATATTGTGAGGTTTACAATATATGTATTAATTAACTATATGGCAACAATAGCCCAGAGGATAAAATAAGGAAATTGAGGTATATGGTTACAATGTTCATATACTATATGTGAGGTGGCACAATATTATTTGAAAGTAAACTGTGGTAAATTAAAGATGTACAGGCATACCTTGTTTTATAGCTTTGTTTTATCATGCTTTGCAGACACTGTGTTCTTTACAAATTGAAGGTTTGTGGCAAAACGGCATCAAGAAAGTCCATCAGTGAAGCCATTTTTCCAACAGCATGTACTGTCTCTTTCTCAGTATTTTTTAATGAAAGCATTTATAATTAAGTATTTTTAAATTTAGGTGTACACATCTTTTAGACATAATGCCATTGCACATTATAGTATAAACATAACTTTAATATGCACTGGGAAACAAAAACATTTGTGTGGCACTCTTTATTGTAAAATTTTTATGATTTTGATGAACCAGAACAAATAATGCAATAGCTCCAAGGTATGCCTGTATATTATCAACCTTTAGCAACCTTTATATTGTCAATATTCATATATATAGAATGGTAATAAAGCTATGTAATTAATAAGCCAATGGTAGAAATAAAAAGGGATTATACATACTACTCACTATTTTTTAAAAGGTCTGAAAGGGAAAAAAAGACCAAAGTCCTAGATGAGGTGAAAAGATACAATTATTAAAATGGCAGACTGAAATCCAGCTATGTCAATTATTACATTAAGAGTAAACGGTCTAAACAGGCTGAATGAAAGGCAGACATTGCTGGATTGTCTAAAACAGCAGATCCAACTACATGTTGTAAGAGTAAAAACTTTATGAAGACATAAATAAAAGTATTGGAGAGGAAAAAAATGTGTGTATGCATATATATGTGTATATATATACGTGTGTATATGTATATTTGTGTGTATACACATATATATACACACACACAAATATACATATACCCACAAATATATATGCATATTCATATATATGTACATATACACAAATATGTACACAGAAATAATATATGCAAACACACAAATATACATATACACACATATATATACACATATACATATATATCTATATATATACACAAATATACATATACACACATACCCAACACTAATCAAATGAAGACTGGAGTGGTGCCATGAACATCATACTAAGTAATCTTTTGAAGAGAAAAGATATACTGGGGATATCTTTTGAAAAGAAAATGTTATCAGGGATAAAGAAGAACATTGCCTAATGATAAAGAAATCAATTTATCAAAAAAATTAATGGTAAGTATATGTACATTACACACTCCAATGTACGTAAAACAAAAACTGATGGAACTGAAATGAAAGGATAAAGAGAGAAATCTACAATTCTAGTTGGAGACTTAAACTATCATCTCTCAGTAATTGACAGACTACATGGATATAAGATCAGTAAGAGTATAGAAACTTTCAACAATACTATCAGCCATATTGACCTAGTTGAGATATACAGAATCCTCTACCCAAGAACAACAGCAAATACTTTACTTTCAAGTATTCATGAAACATTCAACCCAAATGAAAAATATGCTAGGCCATAAAACAAATCTCATTCCATAACAAAAGGATTGAAATCATATCCTCTCTTGCCACAGTGGAATCTGATCAATAGCTGAATGTGTTTTATTTGGGAAACTAGTATATTCCACTATATTCTGCCGAGAAATTTGGGGATATCAGGAAGAAGGACATACAGACACTAATAAATATGAAATAAAGTTTATTACTCAGATAGTAAATGGCAAAAGTATTCTCCAAGAAAAGGGATCAGATTCCTTCTGTAGTAAAACAACCATGAGAAGAATAGATGACCCCAGCTTATTTTGGATTAAGAGGTGAAACCAGGTAGGGATCTACATGGTTTGAACTTCTCCGCCAATGCCAAGGGAGGGAGCTCCTGAGCTTTTTTGTAAATCAGTTTTCCAGATGTGAGGCAAAAGGTAAAGAGGGAGGGGTGGAGCTTTAAAGCTGTCAGTGATCAAACATCAAAATAGGAATCAGTCTTTATTATAGAAAGATATCTGGATAATTCTTACATATTTATAAGCTGAACAATATGATAGCTCAATGTGAACTATCCAGACAGTTCATAATATAACTAATGTGTTATAATTTACTTGAGAAGATAGAGGATGAGGTGAGGTCCTTCAAGTAAGTTAAGTCTTAACCTAACACAAATACTACTCATGAGATATAGTCTAAAATCAATAAATCATAATACATTATAGATAATTATAATTTGTATCATAATACATATAACACTATATACATATGAAACTATATACACATATATAACATATATACATACATTATAAACATATGCATATAATTTAGAAATATAGAGATTGCCACCAGAAGATATAGCTGGCAAGGTTACAAAGTGATTTCAGTTGTCAAGTGGGACTGAGCACTTCAGGATTTTCACCTTAATAGAGGTGTATTTTTTAACAAAAAAACAACTAGGCCAAATTAAAAGAAAAACAAAAACGAAACCAAATAATAAGCAAACTTTCTTTCCTTGCTCTACTCTTCACTATGAGACGTTAAGAGATTCACTTTAACTCTGAGTCACATGTTCTTACCTTAGTAAGAACAAAATTGAGTTGAATAATGTTCCCCAAGGGATGTCCCTGGGTCACAACTGTTATACACGAAAAGGGTTCTGATGTGGAGCTTGGACTTCAGTTTTAGTTAAATTAAACAATTAAAACAATTTTGTTTTTTACTTTAGGATGTCTTCAAGTCACCCAAGCAGTTTCTACTGTGAATCTTTGAGAGGGAGATTGCAAGGGGCCATCAAAAGTCATTCCAAGTCAAACCAAGGTAAAACCTGATGACAGTGATGGGATTTTTCTCAGCAAATGGTCTTGGGTCTGCTAGAATATACAAATGAATAAACATTCAAGGTCCAAAAGTTTCTTTTACATTTGGCTATAGGTTGAAAGCATGAGATGTTTATGAAGTAAACACCCAACATGGCCAAAGTGAAATGTCAGTAAGACAACTACAGAAATGTGATCTTTGAGATAACTTTCTAATTCACCCTCTAAGCTATTCATAAAATGTATAGCTAAAACATGTATACTAGGATTTGAGTTTTTCTCATTCATAAGACCACTTGCATCTGTTGCATGATATCTTCTATTAATTTTAATAAGTATCAGCAAAGCAAAACATTTCTTCAAATCTTGCATTCATCTGGTTTTTCTCAACTCTAACTACAAAACTTAGGGTTTCTTATCTTTTCATTCATATGTGATACCTTTTATATATTTTTTTCTTCATGAATTTTTCTTCATTTGCATTTCTTCTTCTCATAAAAACTATCCTTGAGCTCGGTGCAGTGGCTCATGCCTCTAATCCTAACACTTTGAGAGGCCAAGGTGGGAGGATCACTTGAGCCCGGGAGTTTGAAATCAGCCTGGGTGGGCAACACGGAAAGAGCCCATCCTACAAAAAATTTAAAAAATTAGCCAGGCATCGTGGTATGCACCTGTAGTCCCAGTTACCAGGAAGGCTGAGGTGGGAGGATTGCTTGAGCCCAGAAGGTGGAGGCTGCAGTGAGCTATGATCACACCACTGCACTACAGCCTGGGTGACAGAGCGAGGCCCCATCTCAAAAAAAAAAAAAAAAGAAAAGCAAAAAAATTCTTTGATATTTTCAGTAACAATATTGTAGTTTTCAGTTACAATTCTTTTAAGTTTTTCTCAAAAAATTCTCAATTGCTTATTTTCTCTTTTAGGAGATAAGCTGTTATTTTAACTCTGTCTTTATTATCTAAGGCACTTCCAAATCTGTTTCTTTTGTCTGCTTTTCACTGTCATCCAGGATGTCTTGTATTCTTTGTACCTGATTCCTTTCTTTGTACTCGACATTATATTTGCAAAATTGTTGTAGAAAATTATTTGAGAGCTACCACATCACCTTCCTTTAGAGAGGAATTAGGCTGCTTTTGTCTGGTACTTGGATGCACTAACTATCTGGGATCACTTCAATTCAATTCCAAAGATTAAAATGATTCATACCTGAGCTGTAGTCCTTGAAAAGGTCTATCTATTCCTAGTTCTTTTTTTTTTTTTTCCAAAGGTGTAATTTTCGGCCCCTCACTAAAGGTAAAGGATGCTTAGCAGAACCACTGCTTTTGATGGGACCTGGACTCTAAACCCTATTACCCTAGTTCTGTGAGACTGTCAGTAGCAAAATTCAGCTGCCTGTCAACTGCCCCGGGATTATCAATAATCTAGGGGGAAAATAGCCCAAGTGCTAGAATTTGCCAATCTTGGTTTTGTTCTCTTCTTGAATCCTGGGCTGGTATTTCTTCATTAACACTCTGATGCCTTTTTAAATAGAAGGCCTTTGTTTGTATTGTTTAATCCAGTTTTTCAAGTTGTCCTCAGCAGAGGACTGTCTTTTATCCAGTGTTTTGTTATTTACAAATATTAGAAATAATACAAATATTACAATTACAATAATACTAATATTACAAAGAATATTTATGTTACTTATAAATATTATTTATGTTACTTATAAATATTATTTATGTTATTATTACTACCACTGTAATTCATGCATTAATCATCTACTGAACTAAGTCTCTAACTGGCTTTCAAGGCTTCTGGGCTCTATTATTACTCCCTTGCATCAAACCTGTCTCCACACTGCTCCCAGGGTGATAGTCTAACACAAAAATCCAATAATGTCACTTAGATGTTTTAAATTATTTAAAAACTTCACTGCATACAGATAACATTATGTAGAAAAAATAAAGTGGTTATGAACTTTATAGCAAAATAAACCTTATTTCGAATCCTCACTCTAACAACAGCTGCATGAGTTTGGACAAGCTACTTAAGTTCTAAGCTTCAATTTTCTAATCTCTAAAGCAAGCATGGTATTAACACCTAACATAAAAAAGTGTTTTGAAGATTAAGTAAGAAGTAAAGTACTAACTATGGAGAGTATTAAGAAGATAATTCTCTTCTTGTTATAGCATTGCATGAGTTCAATAGACATTAGAAGTTTTCTTTTCTCTGAACTACCTCTGACAGTGCAAACATTCCATAATTTGTCTTCCTTCCATTCCTTTCCACATATTATTTTATCCTTTAACTAGGAGAGAATCCAGAGGAAAAATAGAAATAAGTGTGGTTTCTCCCATATTCCACAGTAGTTAGAGGGCCAAACACTCTTTCCTACTGCAAAAGAAGCTATTCAGAGGGCCTCTACCCATGACCACTTCTTTAGATTACAGATGGAGAATCGATCCACAGAAAATATGATAATACTGAAATTTGCTTGATTTTTCTTCATGGGAATCCATATTCCACATGGTTAAATGGGATTAAGTAAATATAGGCTATTCTCCAACAAAAAAGTAGTGGTTACAATAAGACAGAGCAAGAATTCAAGTTTAAATCAAGAAAAAATGTCTGAGGCCTCTATCAAGGGAGAAACATACTGATGGCATTTTAACAAAAGAGGAAAAACTCAATGTAGGATGCAAATGATATACAAGGGAGACACAAATTAACTGTTTGAATGAATTTTAACTACTTTAGAAGGAATAAAATTGCCCTCTTAGTTCTGATAATTTTCTGTCACCCTAGAGAAAAATAAAATGTGATTTCCAAAATAGCAGAAAGAGCAACTCTCCTTCTAAAAACAGAAAAATAGAAATGATCAGCTGGCTGCCAATTGTATGTTGTTAAATTAAATTATATTATAAATGTATACATTTTCTATATAACATGATATATACAACCAAAAAAGGAACTATTAAAATTTATATCTAAAGTAATGTCATCTCTTAGAAAATTTCTATCAAATGCACAACTTCCTAAAGTGTCTACATGATTAGCATCATGTTAACTCTCTTTATTTTTCAGATTTTCGGGACCCCTTTGTTATCTGATTCTTCAAATGAGTCATCCTTCTTTACCCCATTTACAATCAGGGTATATTTGGAATTTAAATAACTGTAAAAATAAGAGAATAAGATATAAAGGACACATAAAGATATAAAGGTGACCTTTAAACTTAATTTTACCATACTGAAGTTGACAAAGTAGTTGATGATTTTTAAATGTGGCAATATAGCCTAAACATGTTAAATACAATTTTCCAAAAAATGACAATTACAAATACATTAGATAGTCTAGGAAGAAAGCTGTAGTTGTTTGATGCTGTGAGTACCATACACTGACTGAGATGGATATGCACTTACTTGGCTAATGAGTTCACCTTCAAACTCTGAATGCTCAAATGGAAATAAATCACCAGGCAACTACATCACCAGCCACAGAAAAGTAAAATGAATTAATAAATTACAAACCTAAAACATATTACACACTATCAAAATACCGTATTTCATCTTATCTAAAGATGCCATCAGTTACAAGATGCACTGTTATCTGATTTACCATCAACAATTTTTTTTAAACACTGGCAATTCACATGGAACATACTATTGATTCCAAGATACATCCTGATTTGAGATATGAAATGTAAAAAAATCATATCTTTGAAAATTAAAATGTAGCATTCTTTTATTTATTGGCTCTTACTCTTGCCTGTTGTAACAAAAGGAATTCTCAGTCTCAATCCTAGAATGCCTGATATCTTCAAAATCCATTTAGGCACAAGCTGACTTTCCAAACGCAGACACACAATTCCACAGTGCCTTGGTCTTCATAGCAAAGTTGGGGGCACTGGGGATACAGTTAAAAAGCAGAAAAATAAAAATTAAAAAAATTTTTGACCTTTGGAAACCTGTGTGCCTGTGTGTGTGTGTGTGTGTGTGTGTTGTACCTACTTAATTCTGGCAGTAAACTTTCCTCTTCTCTGTGTTCCTATGGTAACTTTAACTCTTGTAAATTGTGCTGATTGCTAATGTCATTGAAGATTATTTTTCCTATTGTCTTTCCTTCTTCCCACTTCACACCCCATAGAGTATATGTCTGATCCACATCTGAAAGGACTGAACTATCAATCCTCCAGAGAGAAAAAAGCAGTTACAAAGCTTCCAGCCAAGCATTTTCCGGTAAAAATCAGAACAAAGGAGTGATCTCTTCTACTTCACTAAGTTCCAGTAATATTACATCAAGATATAGAAGGGATCACTCCACTGATTGCAGCCCCCAAAACTGTGCTCTAGCAAAAACATATTACTGAACAAATACTATTTTTACACCCATTCACAACTCCTTTGCTCCCAGAAAAGACAAAATGTCCTATTAAAAGCTGTAAGATGTCTCTTTGAGTGCAGTAATTATCTAATCGCAAAGCATTTCTGAAGGACAAACTGTACATATTGTTCTTAGAAATAACTAAGACATAGCCACTTCCAGTAGTCAGTGGCAGATATAGATTTAGTAAATAAGAGGGGCTTACAGTGATTGCCTGGTTTTTGTGTTGGGCAGCCTATAGAGACTTTTCTTGAATCTACATCTTGGTGACCCTTTACAGAAGACTGAAAATCTATTTGTTTTACATCAAAGAATTTGAAGTCAGTGGTGTAAGTCATGGAGATCATGTGGGGAACTGAAGACTAGCCCAAACTTTACCTCAGGGCTCACCACTCTCTAGACTGATAATGATATCAAAAAATACATCTTGAACTCTCAGCACAGACACAGCAAAGCACATTTCATTTCTCCATGGGTGTCAAAGCACCCATGGAGTCCAATGTATTCCTATGAAGATGTACATATCCAGATAGATTTGGATAAAATTTAGTAATATATTTTCCCTGGAGAAAAAAAAGAATATTCAAGAAAAATCTTCTCTCACAAATTCTAAAACCCAAATTATTAAATATATGATTTTATTTCTAAAACTTTAGTTCTTCTTATTCATTTTTCCTTTAAAGTGCCTTTTGAGTACCCAAAGGTCAATATTTTTTAATTTACTTTTAATTTAAAATTAATCAATCATATAGGTCTGCAGGGCAACACAACAGTAATTTCAGCATGAATAACAGTATTATACATATGTGACATATATTTTACTCCTAAATGACATTAATAATGATAAATTTTATATCACATTGATTTTTCGCCTCTACACAGCAGAAACAGCATCATAGATCATGATTCTATTGTTGCTGCAGGGATTCGGCCTTGCAGAGTGGGCAAAAACTAGAACACACTGCAGGTGGGAAATTGTAAGGAAAAAGTTCTGCATATATTAAATATAATACGGAGCTCTTGACTCTGCTCAATTATGTCTTGCTGGAAGTCAAAAAAGTTAGTACTCATGCCAAGTACTTAGACTGCGATGCTAAATCATCAAGTAACATGATAACTATGACTTTTCCATTTCCTTTGTTATAGGTACCACAGCGGAATATTAACAGTAGCCTTACATGTGTTCACGTTCTTACATTGCCTAGCACATTAACCAATTTCTAGGTAAAAAAATAATAAAACCAAAATTAAGGCCATTGTTTCTTTTTCTCAAAACTATAAAAGTTACTGATTTGTGCTCCTTAGTTTTACAAAGCAATTTATTTGGAATTTTTCATAGGTAATCCAAAGAAATCCAATTTACACATTCCCTGAAAGGTAAAGTTCCCATATGACTAGAATCCTTTCTATTAATGCAAAGGACAAGTGTGTAGAGATGTCTCATTAATTGATTTTTCCTGGAATGTTAAGAATTCATCAATTTATATATACAGATCTTGCTTCAAATCAGAAGAAATGAAATGTTCTGTTTAGTATTTGAAAATTGCTTCTATTTGTAACTTTTGGCCTACTGTAGAAATATCATTATTTGGTTTTGTTAGTTCTTTGTTTTGTCTTCCACATCCTTTTACTCCTTCTCAGTTTTTACACTATTTATGGTTTTTCTACACCTTCTTAAAGAGCTCCTCATTTTTGCCACTGTGTAGATTAAAGAAGTATCAATTCTGCTTCTTATGACAGAAAATGCCCATTTCAATCTTGTTATTTTTAAGAGTATCTTAACATTTTTAAACCTTAATAATATTCATGGTAAAATGTAGAAGTGCAGAATGTGATAAAGTGAAATATTATTTTCTCTGAAATCTAATTTGCATTCACAAGAAGTACACCCTGTTAACATTTTCCTTCATACAATGTTTACTATGCCTATATGACATGAATGTCTATTAGTGTGCATATACAGATGAATTTAAAATGTATAGCCTTGGGTTTGTAGAATGGCTTTCTTCATTTTCCTATTCCTAAACTAAATTTGGTCCTAGAATAAAAAGCCAGCAGGATACTTACTGCTGAAAACTGGAAACGTTTCCATTTTAGTGTGGGACAAAAAAAAATATTATTTGTCATCAGATTATTTGATTGTGAGATACTTAAAAACTTTTAGGTTTTTTCCAATCTTTTTCTATCATAATATTGCTTCAAGGAGTGCTGTTTCACATATGCCATTTTGTAAACATGGGAATGAAATTTCTCTTCCTATTGATATGAGGTCTTTTGCTCTAAAATACTATTTGTACATATATAAAAATGATACTATATATAGGTGTATATATATACGTGTATATGATTATATTATATGTAATGTATACACTTAAATTATATATGCACATTATCGTGTATATGATATTATACACACATATATAAGTTGCATTATATATGTATTTATGTATTGTAATGATACGGGAGGTGAGCAGGGAAGCGCTGGATAGAGAAAGGCAGGGTCCCTGGTGAAGGCTCCACCTTCGGGCCTGTGCCCATGGACCTATGTGAGGAGAGGCACTCCTGTTTTCACACCCAACTGTTGCATTTTTCAAGACCACTCTGGCCAGCCACCCTGCATCCCCATTCCTGTGCCTATAAAAACCACCCAGAGACCCTAGTGGGCACACACACACAAACAGCTGGACATTGAGAGGAACACACCAGCAGAAGAACACACCAACAGACACCGCCAGCAGGAACCACATGGATGCCAAGGAAAATTCAGCCAAGGGCAGTGGGAGGAGAGCCAGGCCGCTGAATGAGCGGCTCACGCAGGGGAAGACCACCTTCCCACTCCATCCCCCTCCTGGCTCCCGATCCGTCTGCTGAGAGCCACTTCCACCACTCAATAAAACCTTGCACTCGTTCTCCAAGCCCACGTGTGATCTGATTTTTCTGGTACACTAGGGCAAGAACCCCAGGATACAGAAAGCCCTCTGTCCTTGGAATAAGGCAGAAGGTCTAATTGAGCTAATTAACACAAGCCACCTGTGTTAAGGCTAAGCTGAAAGAGCGCACTGTAATACGAGCCCACTGGGGCTTTGAGAGCTGTAAACACTCAACCCTAAACGCTGCAGTGGGGTTGAAGCCCGCGCTCCCCACGACCTGCCCTTGCGCATGCTTCCCCTAGGGGTTCTTTGCTGTGGGGCACCGAAGAAGCGAGCCACTCCTCCTGTCACATGCCCTGGGAGGGGGATAAAGGAAAACTTTTCCTGTTTTAATAATTTCCATCTATTTCTTTTGTACCCAGCCACTTATTTAGTTTTGATATTATTGATATTGTTGGTTTTTTTCTTTTTGGCCTTTTCCTTCATCATCACTATTATTTTCTATTGTTCCAGAAATGTAGATGATATAATAATAATTATAAAAGTTAAGAAGAAGTAAAATTAGCAATTATCACAGAGAGTATATTGTTATTTACCTATTAAAAACATTTTTTGAGATTTTAATTTCTAAAATTTCCCTCCCATTCATATAAGTAATTTATAGAGCTTTGAATGTATAGCCTTAATTATCTTGCCCTCTATGATTGACAGATTAACAGAGATGCAGAGATGTCCAAGTTTAAATCTCTAGAACCCACGAATATATTAGAACGGCATGGCAAAGAGGAATTAAGGTGGCAGAGATAATTAAAGTTAACTGACTTTTGAGATGAGGAGCTTATACTGGGATTAACAGGGCAGGCCCAGTGTAACCACAAGGGGCGTTATAAGTGAAAGGGGACAGAAAGGTGAAAACATTAGAGAGATGGCAGCAGGACAAAGACTCAGTCATATGCTGGGTTTGATGATGGAGAAAGGGGGCCATGAGCCAAGGAATGTGGGTGGCCTGTGTAAGAAGGAAAAGGAACGGATCCTCCCTAGGGTCTCCAGAAGGAATGCAGCACTGCTGACTCCTTAATTATAGCCCAGAAAGACCTATTTCAGATTTATGACTTCATGAACTTTAAGATAATAAATTTGTGTTGTTTTAAATTTGTGGTAATTTGTTAGAGCGGCAACACAAAACTAACATACCCTCTAAACCTAACCTTTCTGTTCCAATATGCTATTTCCCTTATATTTATCCTTAAACAACTATAAAATCTTTCCAAACACAAGATTTGTCAAAATGGGGAGCATGTGATTACTATGCTCCCATTCAAGAACCACTTGGACGTTTTTCAAATCTCTTCCTTGCAGATACGGTTGGACAGTAGGATTTCTATAACAACTTCCAGCCTCTAAACAGCCATCTATGTGTTGTAAATAAGATTTCTTCCTAGCATTTACTAAATATTATGAACTTGATTTCTTCCTAGCATTTACTAAATATTATGAACTTGATTTCTTCCTAGCATTTACTAAATATTATGAACTTGGAGAAAAATTAAAATCTACTCTTCTGTCTGCCACCAGGATTCTTCCTGTATCCACTCTGTTTTATGAGACTAATTATGTGGAGAAAGTATGCTGCATAGTTTTAATTTGTCACTTTCATACCCATTAGTTTTTTAGAGCCGTACCCACCTAATGAATCTAACATGCGATATATGGGGTCTGGTGCCCAATAAATTAAATATATTCATATGTATTTTTTTCGTACAAGGATGGCTACTCTGCTTTTTTTGTTTGCTAAAGACCCTGCAGTTTTGGTGAGGTGCACACAGCAAAGGAGAAACTAAGTAAATTTCTACCTACTTTGAAGTTGGCACAGTACTGCTGACCTACCAATTTCACTTTCAGTTTCATTCTACTGGCGTTGGAGTTAGTGGAAATTTCCCTAGATACCATTTGAAACGGGAAGCCTGTCTTCAATTCTCAGTAAACAATCTCTTCGGCAGTGGCTCTTTGACCTTTTGTCTGCTTATCTTATTACCAGACAAATTTGCGCTGCCCTTTTAAAACCATCTTCTAATAACAAAACTAAGTACTACAACTAGCTCACAAGGGTAAAATCACAAATCAGATTTGTTTAGCAGCAGTGTCCTTGAAATGGGTAAATTTCCACTGTGAAAGAAACTCTTTGTCCCCATCAAGATCCTTTTTACATTTTGATTAATACCTTACCTAAATATCCAGAACAAAGGCAGAAGTGAAGACGTCCGTGAATGCTTGCGTAAGTACCAGGAGATCTGGAACATCTATTAATTATTTTTCACCATTCTGCCATTTCCAGGACTCGAAGTCAGCAGAATTGACTGAAATAGTCTTCTAAGTCCAATCCAAATATGTCTAATAATGAAAGGCTTTGTAAGGATATGGCTAAGGTGATGCCAATCTAGGGATGGATTTCATGAACATGAGTCCGAGAACTGATCAGGAAATGAAAGATTAACCAGAGGTTAAAATGTGCACATAGAACGATTATCTGGGATGTCAATCCAGATGGCTATCAAGCAAAAAGTTCCAAAAATTGACAGTAATAGAGTTGCAAAGAGACAATTTATTAGCATCAGGAATCTGGGGTTTCAACACAGGGAGGTGGATAACCAGAGTGCACACCAGGAATCAAGAAACCAGAGCATCAGAGGTAGAGGGGCTTCAACACAATTCTGACTCCAGGCTCTTTCAGAGAGCAATTTATCTGGGATCGAAATTGATCTAGATGAAGGGGTTGTACTATATTTACAGGTGAAGGCTAATTTGGCATTTAGAAAAATATGGAAGTCAGCAGCCAGAGTCAATAAACATCCTCATCTTTCAACTATTAACCACCTCTACTGAGTGACTACATAATATATTTTCAAATTCTTGCACAGGCATGCCCAATCTGATACATTGATCTTTTGAGATATTACATTTTATTTTGCTTTGTAAATTTATCTCATACCTGTCTACTCTTTTCAGTTCAATTAGGTAGCCAGACTTCTTAAATTTCTTGAATCAGAGATTTTGGAAGCAATAAGATTAAGAAAAGATCAAAGATGCCTTTCTTTCACAAAAGCCTAACCAAAATGAAGAGACTGATAGGAGACCTGGGCAGAAGGGAGCAGAGAGAATATCTGTGCAGCAGATACCAGTTTCCACCAAATAGGGAAAAGAGAGAGTCTTCAATCTTTGGACCAGAGGCTGGTGCACTAACTAGTCCAAGGCAGTGTCTGATGAGGTATTCAGACCTCAGAGAGATGTTTCTTAGTTTACCAGGAATGCAGGACCCCCAAAATGATACAGAAGCAGAACTGTAAAAGCTCAAGAAACCACTACATTATGAACAGTGCAGCTGCATTAGGGTTCACCAGAGAAAGAGAACCAATAGGATATCTGCATATATAATAGGACATTAATTATAGGAACTGGCTCAAGTGATTATGGAGCCAAGAAGTCCCATGATCTACCATCTGTAAACTGGAAAACCAGGAAAGCCGGTGGTGTAATTCAGCCTGGATCCAGAGGGTGGAGAAGCAGGAGCTCCTATCCCATGTCCAAGGGCAGGAGAATATGGACACTGCAGCTCAAACAGAAAAAGCGAATTCTCCCTTCCTTTGCCTTTTTCTTCTATTCAGGTTCTCAGTGGATTGGGTGATTCTGAATACCTCAATGATTTATTAAAGGAAATCTATTTTGAAAGATACTGAGAAGCTTACAATATCAAAGAAAAACTGGAATGATCAGGCCTTTAAAAAAATATGGAATCAGCCAGGCATGGTAGCTCACACCTTTAATCCCAGCTCTTTGGGAGGCCGATGCAGGAGGATTGCTTGAGCCCAGGAGTGCGAGACCAGCCTGGACAATATAGCAAGACCCTGTCTCTATAAAAATAAAATTTAAAAATAAAAAATAAAATCTAGAATCAAGGCCAGCTCTTCTCTCTATAGCAGGAACTCATGAACCTTGAGTATTCTCAAGATAGCATAGCACCCAACAGATTCATATGCTTTGTAACCTCTGTCTATCACTCATAACTTCAGGAGAAAGTCTGATAGGTTCCACTGAGACCATATTCCCACCTATGTCTAAGACTGGAAGGTGGGCTTACTGGCAGGCACTACCAGTAATGCTCATTGTATCTCCTTCGGCTTGGCTCCTTAGTTGACATATATCTTGTGCTCAAAGAATTAATGTTGAATTTAAATATTCTAAATGGCCAGTTTTTAATGAAGGCACATGCTGGTAAGCAGTACAGCTATTCTTATAATCCTAGACTTTTGTTCTTTCCTATTTATTTTCACATTTTTCTATGCTCCCGTTTTTGTCAGAAATCTGTTGGAACAGTTATTATCTCTATTTCTTCCATGGTGTCTAAAACTAGAGAGCTATTTTTCCCTCTGCAATGTCTTTTTTTTTCCTCTCTTTGCCATGCTTCAGTGTAACTTGTCAGTCCTTCATGTTATGTACTAGAGGAATTGCTGTCTCACCAGAAAAAGTCGCTGAAAGAAACTGCTTCTGAGCTTGAACACAAATCAATTCCTTTCATCTCATTCTTGCTAAGTTGAATATTGATCTGTGTCAAAGCAATATGCATGACTTTTTCATTAATATTTAATTGTTATTTTATATGACTTCAAGCAAAGAGACATCTCCATGGTTCATTGATTCATCCATTCTTTTGGCCAAATGCCAAATAGCCTGTCTCCAAGAAAATGTATCTGCCCTTTTCAAATGAGACTCTTTGAAGACCAATTCAATTCAATCAAATAATTAGGCTATCACATCATGTTATTATCCTACTAAAAAGTATAGTTGAGAACAGTACATATTCTAAAGTAGCAGTGATAGAAAACCTTATGTTACATGTAAAAATTACACATGAATGAATTTTTGGCGAATACAAAACGGAAAAATGGAACAGAATATAAATATAACAAATCTGCATATAAAATTCAGAATTAATGCGCTAGTTACACCCAGATTAAAATGAATTACTTTATGTACAATTTCATTGTAAAAGGAACCAACGCTCCATGGTTGATTGGGAGACTGGAACAGAGATTGTACAAGGTACACTTGTGCAATGAGCCTGGAACTTCTTGTGGTACCAAAAAAAAAAAAAAAAAAAGAAGTGCTAAAATTTTTAAATAGAAATAAAAAGGATAAGAGCACATCAAAGTGACACAGTTGCCAAATCTTCCCACGGTCAGAGCTGGACCAATCAAACAATAAAAGAAATAACACATTATGGATTATAAGTGTCACACTGGATTGAAGTATCCATAAGCCCTTAATAATAAAAAATAGCTAAAAAGAAAGAGGCAACTCTTCTTTATGGAATAATTCCAATTAATAACTATAGAAGAAATGTGGGAAATAGAAAACCAACTTTAAAACACCACAGTAATAATTTCTGCTGGCAAGATTCAATGCTGTATGCTACAGTGGGTAGCAAAATTTCAAGAACAGGATAGTGGCCTAGATTCAAATATCGCCCTTTTTTTTTTAATTCTTGTTGTGATTTTAATATACACTCATGAAGTTTTTGGTAATTCTCTCTTTAGGGGGGTGGAACTTAATTTGTCTCTCCTTGAGTGTGGAATTACTTTTCTTAATGACTCACTTTCAACAAAGAGAGTATAGAAAGGGAACAACAGTAACTTCACAGTAGAGAAACTGGCAGACATCACTGTAATAAAGTGATTTTAAGGTTAGCATCACCAACAATAAGTCATGTTGATATCATGCTACTCTTGAAATTATAAGGACACATCACCTTTGTAGCATTCTCCCAAAATATAGAAACTCAACTAATTATGAGAAAACATCAGACAAGCCCCAAATGAAGGACATTCTACAAAATTTCTGACCAGTACTCTTCAAAAAGATCAAGATTATAAAAAAACACATAAAGACTGAGAAAGATTGGGAGAGACAAAATAGACGTGACAACTAAATGCAGAGTGGTGTCCCAGATTGGATCCTTAAACAAAAAAGAGACATTGATGTAAAAATTTATGAAATCCACACAAAGTCTATAGTTTAGCCAATAGTATCATATTATTTAGTTTTGAAAATTATACCATGATTACGTAACATGCTAACATTAGAGAAAACTGAGTGAAGGGCATATAGGAATAATCAGTACTATCTTTGGAACTTTCCTGTAAGTCACAAAACAAAGAGTTCCAACAATTAAGGTGAGGTCAAGACAAGAACATTTGTCATAAGTAGTCTCACACCAGAGAAAAAGGACAAAACTTTAGAAAGGACTAAAGAGAACCAGAAAGGTCAAATATGAGAGTAAATATAAAATAATCTTAAGTGCTTAGACCAGCAGTATAAATGTCTTGGAGGTTGATAAGATATATTGAAGTACCATATATGAAAATAGCTCAAAGGTAGGGGTACAGGTAAAAGAAATTACTGTTTGAAGTTTCTTGTATGGAAAGTTGTAAAATCATTAAGGCAAATTATAAAAAGAAAAAATGCATATTGTAATCTCTAGGCGACCAATAAATGAATTTTTAAAACATAGTGATAAAATGCTGATAAAAGAGGTAAGTCGTTTTTTTCTTTATCTTAATGAACCCAAAAGAAGGAATGGAAAAGTAACAATAGGACCAAAGAAAAGATTGTAAAATTGGAAACAAAAAGAAAGGTGGCAGAACTAAGCTCAAATGCATCTGTAATTGGAATAAATGTAAATGAATTACACACCTCAATTAAAAGGTGTGTAAATTTTCAAAAGAGTTCTGAAAAAGGCCCAATCTATGCTGTTTACACTTTAGATATAAGGACACAGGAAGTCCTTACGTCGGAAGAAAAAGTATGGGAAAAGGAATACCTAACGTATTCCTTTAGGTAACGTGAAAACGTTACCTAAACATGGTGTGGCTACATTAATATCAGACAAAATAGGTTTAAAGAGGAAAAATATTATTAGAGAAAGTGAATTTCATAATGATTAAGGTCCAATTCATCATAAAGAAATAATAATCCTGAATCTGTAAGTATTTAATAACATGGGCTTCAAAATAGAAATTGATGGACCTAAGAGGAGTAATTTAAAAATTCTTAACCTGAGTTTGGAGTTTGAACACATCTCTGTCAGTAACTAACAGAACAACAAAATAAAACATTAGTGAAGCTATGAAATATTTAAACATTTTTTGCTAACCCTTTCTCATTCATATTTATAGAGCACTACCCCTTTAATGGGACATAGAACATTTACAAAAGAAAAGGAACAGAAGGAAGAGGAGGGAAAAACACTGGAAGAAAGATAAGAAGAAAAAGAGAAAGGAGAGAAGAAAGAGAAAAGGGGGAAAGCAAGCAGAGAATTAAGTCAGAGGAGTATTAAAAACATTAACTTTATCACTGATAAAATTAGTCTACAGAACATACCTTGAACTGTGGCTAGAAATAAGCTTCCAAATAATTTATCCCCACAAGTAAATTTACCCTGTGGTCACAATCAGAATACATGGGCAATGGTATATTGTCACCTTAGAGAGACAGAGATGCCTCAGTGTTGTAGGAAGGAGTGAGGAACACAGTGTGCTCCAGACAAGGTGGTCCACAATAAGGGAGAAAGAATTTGTGTCACGTGTATATAAACCAACCACTTTTCCTAGTTTCAGATCGATGGGTAAAAAGAAGCGTGGACCCTTCTCTCCAAAGATACAAACAATAGACATTTGTATTTAAGAGTCGCAGGGTGTGGTGCACTGGCTCATACCTGTATTCCCAGCACTTTGGGAGGCCAAGGTGGGTGAACCACTTGAGCCCAGGAGTTTGAGACCAGCCTGGGCATCATAGTGAGACCCCATCACTACAAAAAATTAAAAAATAGGTGGGCATGGTGGTGTGTGCCTATAGTCCCAGCCACTCAGGAGGCTGAGGCTGGACCTGAACCCAGGAGGTTGAGACTGCATTGAACCAGAAACTCATAAAACTCATGAAAAACAAAAGAGTGATTACTACTGATCACATGAAAGAAAGAGTATCTGATTTCAAGCATTAGAGTTTGATAGTTCCTCCGCAGATTCCATCAAAGAAGTAATCACTGGAATTAAGAGAGAATCCACTAAGGGCTTGCAACCCTGCAGTATGTTGGTTTATGAAGCGCTCATATTATGGCAGGATGCGGTGGCTCATGCCTGTAATCCCAGCACTTTGGGAGGCCTAGGTGGGTGGATCACCTAAGGTTGGGAGTTTGAGACCAGCCTGACCAACATGGAGAAACCCCGTCTCTACTGAAAATACAAAATTAGCCGGGTATGGTGGCACATGCCTGTAATCCCAGCCACTCGGGAGGCTGAGGCAGGAAAATCACTTGAACCCAGGAGGCAGGGTTGCAGTGAGTTGAGATCGTGCCACTGCACTCCAGCCTGGGCAACAACAGCGAAAGTCTGTTTCAAAAAAAAAAAGCGCTCATATTCAAACTCCGTTCAGCCATAAACAGGAAAAAGGATTCAGCCAGCTCATGAGCTAAGTGAACAAGTCAAGTGTGATCTACAAATTTTCTAAAACCTCAACAGCAAATTTGGGGCCCAATAAAATCTCTCCTGTCCCTAAGAGAAGTGAGCATTTATATCTACTTTTTAAAGCATATAAAGGAGTCATATTGAAAAGCAGACATAAAAATGCTTTAACATAAAATAAAAAGAAACTTAAAATAAAATGTCAGCTTGCTCTCCTGTGAGAAGATGCAAAAGACATGCTAATAGACAAGAACAGAAAAGCATGTAGAGGAATAAAGCTTGTTTATTATTTTTTTAAGTGAAAATAACAGTTAAAGTCGCAAGATAGCCTAAAGTATTTTTATGGCAATTTATAAATTCAATTCCCCCTACAGCTCTATGAAACTGTTATTACTCCTCTCCCAGTTTTGCAGATATGAAAACTGAGAAACAAAAGATTTAGGTAACTTGTCCTTAATTGTACAAAAGTGAATTCGTAGAACTGGGATTTGAACCAAGAGATTCTGGCTCCAGAAGCCTCATACTGAACACCAGAGCACTGTTTCCATCAGGGAAATACAAACACAAATAGACATAATTATGGAGTTGAGGTTCATGAAAGATTTCCAAGAAACTAAAATGTCCAAAGCAAAATTAAAATTCACAGTAGAGTTAGTTTAAAACTGAAACTCCATACAATTAAGGAACCAGTAACCTTTTTCAGCGTTTACTAAGTGTCAAGCATTGTTCTATTTGCTTTGATTCATTAATTTATATGATCCTCCCAATAGCAATAGTAGATATTACTATTATCCTTATTTTATATAGAGGATCACCATGTTATGCATAAATACGATGTAAATATTATTGAATTTCTGGAACGTGACAGATAAGATTTTCTCATTTCATGATCATGAATTGGATTTGCTTAATTTTCTCAAAATATTGTTTTATATTTCAATTATATTTCTAGCTTTTTAGCTTATTTTCACATTATTTTGCCCTATTACTCCAAATCACAGTCTCAAGAAAAACATATGTATAGAATATATTTATAAATGGAATATTCTTTAAAATCAAACTATTCTGACATTTCTTCAAAAATGGAGGGGAGGTTCATGGTTGCAACATCAATTTCACATCCTGTAAAAATTGAGTAAGTTATTGAATTCAATCTAAGCAAGGTTGAAACAATCACTCGTTTTTGGTACAAGAAACACTGTTTTGTGATTTTTCTAAGAAGAGTTAACTACTCTTTAGCATAATAAATAAATGTATGAATAATTGGTGGCCAAATTTCCTGTGATTTAGGATCCATTTATCAGGAGACCAAGGCTACAGTGAGTATATTTCTAAAGGTATTTTCCATCCAAATCCCTCCAAATAATTTGCTCAAGTATTTTTTTTTTTTGAGGGGGGAACGGGGGGATTTATTTGATTATTCTCTAAAAACTTACTTTTATTTTGAGACTGTGATTATTGGAAAATTCCAACAAATATGCAATTTGTACAAAAGTAGGTAATTCATTCCCTTAAATGGAAAGCTATAAAAAATTACAAATATTTATTATGAGATAACCAACTCCAGACAGGGGAACCCAAGAAAATATTCTGATGTTTCCAAGGAAAGCCATGTTTGAAAACCAGAAGCTTTAGCTCCCTTATTCAAAGACACTATCCTGAAAAGTATATGTTTAATCCTACATTGTTTATTTTTTCAGTAAATGATCTACATTTTTGTCAAAATACGGTTAAGAAATGTGCATTTATTATATGTCTGTCTGTCAATAAAGATTGTCTATTTCAAAACAAAGCCAAAATTGAAAATGATGTGTAGCTTACTCTGTTTCAGGCATTTGTCTGAATAGTTTCCTAATATTTATCCCTTTTATTTAGCAAAACTCTTTTGAAAATTAGGAGTATATCTATTGTTACAGACAATACAAAAGCAAGTTAACTTGCTTAAAATTCATATAGATAAATGACAAAACATAGTGTTCTTTGTACCTATTTGTGTATTCATTACTTCCTTTACTACTTGATTAAAATGTCCACATTGGGTCCTGTTTAGCTGTCTCTCTGGCATGCAGAGGATTAGAATGAATCTCAACCAAAGCAGATTTCTGATCATAAAAACCATATGTAGCTTTGGCCTTAATTAAATTAATTATAAACAATTTCATTTTCCTTTTCAGGACAAGATAGTTATGGAGTAATCCTCACAACTGCTATCTCAATAATTGATTAACATGAGGAATTTTTTTCTAATCCACATTCTATTGTTTGCCACTTAAGAGTGCTGTGTTCACATATAAACATGAAATACCTCCTTCACTGGCCATAGAAATGACATTGTAACCACACCTGAAGGAAGTATTCTTTTTTCCATGTGAAATCCTACCTCAAATATTAATTAATGTTGATGCATTCTTCACTTTTATTTTGCCACTAATTTATACTTTAGCTTTTTGAAAGTCTTGAATAGAAATTTTGTTGTTGTTTTGCCTTATGCATTAGGTTTTATTTCCACTAAAGTTCTATTAACAGGAGGCAAGCCACTGAATGGCTTTAGAAGTAGCTTTGTGAAAGCTAACTTTTCAGCTGAGAGAAATCTCCCTGGGGATATTACAGAGACACAGAAACTTTAATAGTATTTTGTTTTCCTCAGCACATCCCCAGATTTTAACGTGTCTGAATTTAATGCATTAGAAACAAGCATATGTGGTCTTAAGCTAAAATCTCTTCTTGTATCTAGAAAATCTATCACAAAAATACTAGCTACTGAATATATTTATATATAAAGAGAAAATACTAAAACAATGAACAAAGGACACAATTACAGTATAATCTGCAAAGCAGAGGCTCTTGCTCCTTGAGGGCAAGTAATAGCTCATAGATATTTCCCAACATCTATCTTCCCCCCTTAGTTTGCCTTTGCAGATCAGATGCTATCTGACCACACATGGTCTGTTCAAAATGATAAACAGTATTACTCAATGTATCTTCTCTGAAATGCTAATGCGTTGTCAAAATGCTATAATAGCCCCTATTACATCTATTTATGAAAATAGACCATTCAAGGAAAAGTTAATTTAAATCATCTTGTACTCTAAAATGTCAGTAACAGTAATCATGAATGGTCAGCAACAACAATTTATGCTGTAAATGTTTTTAGACTTTTTCTCTACCAAACCAGTTCACTACAGCAATGCTTATGTAAATTATACATTCTCTGGAAGTTTCTATAATACAGATTGAAAAAAATGCTATGTTTTAAAATTTTCTTTTCGGTGCTATTAGACTTTAAGTAAATCCTCAAAATGGGGTGTAATTTGGGAGCAGATATAAATCAGCACACATAAATAATATGCTTAATTTGCTATACCATTTGATATTAAAAACATCCTACTTAGCTGGTGAGGGAATAAAATGTATTATTTTTAATTTAACCTCTTTTTTGATGCAGAAATGCACCTAAAGTTTCTGCTTTTGAGCATATATTAATTGAATTCTAACTACATAATATATGTAAGACACTTTTAAAACATAGAAAATATAACAGTCCATATTTCTCTACTCAAGTCACTCAGTCTTTTGAGGGTGACAGTATAACCACATACAACATAAGACACATTTGATGTACTGTATTATGAGAACCATACAACTTTCATGCAAGATAGCTGACTGAGCACATACAAGGTCCTGTCCTCCATTTTCAATTTAAATAATTTAGTGATATATTCATACAATGGGCTACTACATTGCAGT
Source organism: Homo sapiens (assembly GCF_000001405.40). NCBI lineage: Eukaryota > Metazoa > Chordata > Mammalia > Primates > Hominidae > Homo > Homo sapiens. The sequence goes on from NC_000008.11 coordinate 16,614,528, forward strand.
TTTAAAAAGAAAGATAAAAACTATTGATAGATGCACCAGAAAGGATGAAGCTTACAAGCATTATGTTGAGTGGAAGAAGCTACTCACCAAAAAATGACACAAACTATGATTTCACATATACAAAATTCATGAACAGACAAAACTTGTCTATAGTAATAAAAGTCAGAATAGAGGTTACCTCATTGGTGGGAGTGAAGAAAGGTAGTTAATGACATGGAAGTAGCAGAACAGAACATAAGAGGGTGATGGAGTTATATAAGCTTATGTATGTGTAAAAATGCCCTGAGGTTTAAATTAATGACTTGCGTATTTACAACCAGTATACTTTCTTCCCTTTACTATATGTATATGTGTTAAGCTTCAATTAATGGGTTAAGAAAAGTAAAGTTTTATGTAATACAATAAAGCTGTGATGGAAGAGTGTGTTAGCCTAAATCAAACTACTTTATATGTGAACAGGTTTCTGCAAGACATAAAGAGGATACAATTGAGTTCATGAATAAATTAGAGCAGAGGAAGTTGCCATCCAGAATATGCACAAAATAAATGTATGCTATACCTGAAACGGAAGCTATTCAAGACAGAGTTCTAACTGTAAGTTAGTTCTAAGTTATGTTTTTCTAATGGAAAAATCAGTCAAACTTCAGTCCTTCTTCCTGTATTTTTCTCCCTGACAGAGCCGGGGCTCTGTCCTCAGGGGAAAAAAAAAAAAAAAATGGAGGGATATAGACAATAAAAGATCCAATTTCTTATATTTTGACTTTCAAAAGTGATGATTCAGAAATAAGAAAAGGTCTCCAAGAATGCTTGACTTATCACAAGTAATGTTCTCTTGCCCAGAATATATGAAAGAGAAGTAGAGAGTAGAAAGGAAAGGAAAGAGAACTGAAATTGGTATTTTAAAAAGCGTTGAAAAAATATTCCTTTAACAATACAAAAATAGTTTTCAATGAAATACCTGAACATTCAGAGTCTAGGATATTTAAATATCAAGCATGAAATTATTCTATAGATATAGCCTAGAATAAGACTGTCCAATAGACCCTTCTATAATGATGGAACAGCCCTACATCTGTGCTGTCCAGTAGGGTACCCCTTAGCCACATTGGCTATAAAGCATTTTAAAACTGATTTTATAACTAATTTTAATTAAGTTAATGTAAATTTAAATAGTTACCTATGACTAAGGGCTATTGTTTTGGACAGTGAAGGAATAGAAAATAAATCTGAGATCTAGAATATAGAATGAGATCAAAATATAAAATATATGAAAGAAACAAGAAACAGAAAGGATGTATTGAATACTTTCAGTATTTATCTAATGAGAGTTACATAAAGTGAAAGTGAGAAAATGTATAAGAGAAAATAAAGCATAAAATGAACCAGAAAAGAAAAGAGAGACACTGGTTATCAATCAGTGATAGCCCTTAAATAGAAGTTCTTAACCAAAAAAAAGGCGGGGCTCATACTTTCATATGTTTCTTAAAATTTATTTTGAAATTTAAAATTTACAGCTTTATTGTATTGTATAAAACTTTACTTTTCTTAACCCCTTAATTGAAGCTTAACACATATACATATAGTAAAGGGAAGAAAGTATACTGGTTGTAAATACACAAGTCATTAATTTAAACCTCAGGGCATTTTTACACATACGCAAGCATGCCTAAAATTTCCAAGAAAAAAAATCAAATTGACTACAATTGAATGAACATAAGACCACTGCCGTATTTCTCAGCTGTAACACTTTCTCCTAGAACAACAAGCAGCAATGGATTCAAACAAATGACAGAAAACAAACAAGCCAAAAACCAACAACAACAAAACAAAAAGCATTCTGAATTCTATATACCCAGACATATTATAAATGAATCATAGGCATAATAAAGAATTTTCCAAACAAGCAAGAACTCAAAGTTGACCTCCTATGAACTCCTTTTGAAATAATTACCTCAGAACATATTCTAACAGGCTTTGGAAGGGATATGGAAAGGAAGAGGCTATAAGGCTACTCTTCAATCATTTCATTACCATATCTGGAGGACAATTTTGAGAAAGAAAGAAGGCAGATGATCTGGTCACATTGTATTGTAAACGTGTAAACAAGAGACTTTATGGTAAATAAACCAATGGTACTTACTAGGAGAAAAATCCTAATCTCAGAAATCTTTTGACTAAAATGTTTCTAGTTAGTATTGTTTATGGTAAAGAAACCTACAGTCTGTGGATTTATAAGAAATGGCTCCCTGGAAAATATCACATATATTTTCTAACTCCATGGATATAAAATGAAACAATTAAAATACTTGTTACTTAAAACAGATGATAAAGAGATTTAGGGTTTGTTACTAACTTAAAAAAGTTATTGCATACGGATGTGAAATTATTCCAGCACAATTTTTGAAAAGACTATCACTTGTTCCATTTATTTGCCTCTGCACTTTGGCAAATGTCAATTACTGTATACGTGTGAGTCTGTTTCTGGACTCTCATTTCAGTTACACTCTATATGCCTATTCATTGGCCAATTCCATACTGAGTTACTATCTCTAGCTTTATAAAAAGTCTTGAAATAAGGCAGCATGTGAATGTCAAGTTTGTTTTTCTAGGCAAAACAATTTTGGTTATTCTTGTTCATTTGCCATTCCACATAAATTTTATAATCTCTTGTGCATTTCTATGACAAATATTGCCATGACATTGATTTGGATTGTATTTACTGATTTGATCAACTTGGAATTTGGACATATTTGGCATCTTAACACTACTGAGTCTTTCAATACATGAATATAATATGCCTCTCCATTTATTTCAGCCTTTTTGATTTCTTTCTTCACTGTTTTGTAGCCTTTACCATACACATCTTTTAAATATTTTATTACATTTATACCTAAGTAGCTCATCTTTTTCCACCATCAATGGTGGTATTCCCATTTCTTACTGTTCATTGTCAGTACCTAAAAATACCATTAAATTTTTAAATTGTGATCTTGTATCTTCAGTAACTTTGTTTTGTACATTCTTTGAAATCTTCTTCAAATACAATCATGTTGAAAGTGAATAACTACAATTGCACATATTTTTTTTTCTATTTGTATGCCTAGTTCTTTTTCTTATTACACTGCCTAGAACCTCCAGTATAATGTTAAATGTGGGTGGTAAGAACATTTTTCTTTTGCCTTAGAGTGAGGGTTCAGTCTTTTATCAGTAAGTATGATGTTTGCTGTAGGTTTTCTGTAGCTGTTTCTTATCATGTTGGGTAAATTCCATTCTACCTAAAATTTAGAGTTTATCATGAATGAATATTGAATTTTGTAAAATTATTTTTCTGTATCTATAGAGAATATAATTTTTTTCTATATCTATAGAGAATATAATGTATGTAGGGTCTGCAACAATGTCCTCTTTTTAATTTGTGATATAATAATTTGTGTCTTCTTCCTTGTTGGTGAGTCTCATCATAGGCTTTCACTGATTTTTCTCTGCTGCTCCATTTCCAATTTTATTTATGTTCTTTATTATTACTTTGCAGTTACTTACTTTGGTTTAATTTACTTTTTTCAAGTTTCTTAAGGAGGAATTTTAAATCACTGATTTAAGACTTTTTTCATATAAACATGAAATGCTATACATTTCTCTTTAAATTGTGCTTTATTTGCATCCCGCAAATTTTGCATGAGAGAGAGATTATTTTCTTTTATTCAATTCAAATTATTTTCAGATGTCCCCTATGATTTTCTCTTTGACCTGTGAGTTATTAGGTTGGTAAAAAAAAAATTGTGGTTTTTGCCATTTAAAGTGATATTTAGATGTGTGCTCATCAGTAAAAATATTCGGCAATTATTCCAGATACCTGTTTGTGATTTCTATTTTAATTCCATTATGATCAAAGAATATACTATGTACATGTTTTTAAATGTATTGAGGTTTGAATTATGGCCAGAACCACGATATATAGACTATACTATATGTTCTACATGCACTTGAAAATTATGTATATTCTGCTTATATTTAGTGTTCAATAAAAGTCGATTTGGTTGGTGAAGGCTTTGATAATACTGTTCACATCTGCGAATTCATTATTGATTTCTAGTCAATCAATTACTATCCAATCAATTACTTTGGGTTCTCTGAAGTTATTATATCTATAGTTTGATAAATTATTCTTTAAAATTTTGTAACCACTATCTCTTCAAATATTTCTTCTGCCTCACATTCTCTCTCTGTTTTCTCTAGGATTTCAATGACACATATATCACACTAATGATATTTTCTTACGGCATTTGAGTGTTTTGTTTCCTTTTTTCTTCACTCTTTTATCATTTGACAGTTTAGGTAATTACTATTAACTGACTTTCACATCCTCTATCACTTTGCTTAGCTGTGTCAAGTCTACTGGTGAGCCCACCCAAGGCATTCTTCATATTTCTTATCGAGGTTCTCATTTCTGGCACTTTCCTGGGGCTCTTTCTTGTCATTTTCATTTCTCTGCTGAAATCTTTATCTATCCATGCATGTTGTACATCTTTGTTTACAACCTTTAACCTATTAACCATAGTTATTTTCAATTACCTGTCTGATTGTTGCAACATCTGGATCATCTCTAAGTCTTGTTCAGTTCATTACTTTGTCTCTTGACAGTAAGGGTTGTGTGTTTTGTTTTTAATTTGATTTTTGTGTCTGTTAATTTTTTTATTAATTTCCAGACATAGTGTTCAGAGTGGTAGAGACTGATAAAAGTAGTATTTATGTGTTAGGTAAATGTCATTTGTCTTCTGCTAGGCTATTATTGTGGGAAGGTGAGTAAATTTATCTCAAGAGTTGAGCCCAATTTTCAGTTTTGTTCACCACTGTCTTTAAATTCCTGTTTGTTCTTAGGTTGGAGATAGTTTGCTGGTGGGTTTTCACGATGTTTCTGCTCCACTCATTAGGGCTTCCCTGTGCCACTGCCCCTCACAGGGAAATTCTCTAGTCATCTCCAGTGTTAATCTGTTGCTTCTGTCTTGGAGGTTGAGGCGTTACGGTTGTGGACGAGGTTCTCTGTCATCCTGATTCAGCCTCAGTTTAAGCAGTCATTGTCTCCCTGAGTCTTAGAATATGGATTTTCTCAGTGAGCTTCTTCCAACTCAATGGAAGGAGACCTTTACTGGTCTGGGCTCTTCTGAGCACATTTCTTGCTTCGACCTATGGATAAAGTATTTCCTTTTTTTTTTTTTTTTTCCTTCCCCTACCTACAATGGAGACATCTTCTCCTTGCACTGGGCCAAGAGCTTTCTGCTATTCCCCAGCATCTTAAAAGTCTTTTTTCCTTATGTGAGAAGAAACCAAAGATGGGTTCCTGTGTTTCCTACAGCAGTGGATGCACCTCTTCTTCAGGCTGCATCTCCAAAGTAGTCTATATTAGTACCTGCCCTGCCAATAAACTTTTTTCATCAGCACATAGTGAAGTCTATGGAGAAAAGCCTGCAACTGGCTGTCTTCATAGCTTCCATACTCTCACAGTATCAGAGAAGCAGTCTTTGAAAATTAATTAAAAGTCACTGTGACTTCTTTTTATTCACTTGTATGGTGGCCTTCTCTTACTCTTATGCTCTTACACAGGTGAATCCATGCTTGTTCTCTATCTGTCCGCAGAGGCACCTGTCTTTCCTCAGATGCCAGGCTACTTGTTGTCCTGCAGCATTAGCTCTCCAATAGGTTCCAGAAAAATTAGGATTTTGAGGACCATCTATCTTTCTCTTGCTAGAAGGCAGATGGGTACTCCTTCTAGATGTCTACATTCTTAGGCAGAAGTCAGAAGACCTGGGATTTGTGTTGTTATTGTGGGCAGGTATTAAAGTCAATCACTTTAATTTTTCCAGTAAGCTTCCAGATATGTCCACACAAGAAACCATGCAGATACGTTCTTCATTGTTCATTCATTTAGGGCCCATTTCCCCAGATCATACAGCAGGACCTTTGGTTAAAGTGCAAGAGTCTGTAAATATCCAAACACTCGCCTGTGAAAGTCTAACAAGCCTCCCTCTGCTAATTCCACTGCTATTGCCCTTGTGCAAACCCGAACTTGCTTTCTTCTTCAAGGCTTTACAAAACGGCCCTGTGGCCCTTATTCTGTATTCTCACTCTAGAGGATCCTTTCAGTGGACTAAGAAGCCACCTTTTCCATGACTGGGAGAGAATGGTAAGACCCAGACTACACAGTATCCTTAGTGGGCTCTATTTTTGGTTCTATAGTCAGCGAAGCAACTGCTAATATAAACTGTAGGCTCCCCTGAAGTTACCCTCTTAGCATCTTTCTAATATACTGTCTCTACCTTGTGAACAAGCTTTGCTATGCTGCACTCCTCCTATCTGAATGTCTCTCTGATATCACCCATGGCGCAATCAGTATTTCTGTCCTCAGAATTTTCTGATGCCCTTCAGTAGTGGGAGTGGTTTGAACCAACCCTCAGTAACAATCTCACTTTTCTCTCCTGAGTTGTATATGCTAAACAACTCAGCAGTTTTAGCCAAACTTCAAGAGAACTCACTGAATAGCCCTATTCAATTTCTGCAAATTCCTGCAATCTGCATATGTACTGGTTACAACAACTTCAAATATTATCTGAGTAGATGGATCGTAAGTGTCCAGTGAAAATATCTGTGCCAACACCCTTGGTATATCTTTAACACTTGTTTCTGCAAAAGCCCCACTCAAATTCAGATTTATTTTTAGTGACATTACGGTTCAGGCCAACAGGATTAATAGATAAATATGATTCAACCAAAACCCCAAAAGCCCTGCCAGTCTCTAAGTTTCCTGCCTATTTCCAGTATATGAGAGAACCAGTAATTTATTTCTCAAAGTAGAAGAACTATCTCTGGTTTCTCCTGTCTATATACATTCTTCAGAATTTCATGGGTTGGAATAAATAAATTAAATTTTATTTAATTTAATAAATCCCGCTTAAATTTTAGCAGGATTTATCAGCCAGCCTCTGTTTTTCATTTAGGTGCCTCTCTTCTTTAGCTCAACCTGATCTTTCTCTGAAGAGGCAATTCTCATACTGTCAGTGTAGTAAACTGACTTTCTATCAGTGATTTTTAACTCCAAATCCTTCATGAGAATATGGCAAAATGCTAGTAAATTTTAAAATCCCCATATCAATGCATGAAATAAATACTGATTCACTTTCTACAAGAATGCAAATTGTTACTGGCTGGGTTCCCAAATTGGAATGGCTATAATAGTGCTAAATTAAATTAAATTTGGCCTGAAGCAACCTTCATACATTGAATCCCTAAGAATGAACTGCAACCTAAGAGTTTATTTTTGTAAGAAATAGTTGAGTCTCAGCCAATCACAGCCACTAAGCTCCAAACAAACACAGGCTGCCAACTGATCAGACCATGTCCATATAGGGCCAATGCCTCATCACAAGACGCAAATTAGGCAAACACTCAACTGTAACCAATAAAGCTGTTTCTGTATGTTACTTCCTTTTCCTGTCTATAAAAACTGCTTGCCACATGGCTGGACGAAGTTCCCTGAACCTCCCCTGGTTCTGAGTGCTGTCCAATTTGTGAATCATTCTCTGCTCAAATAAAGTCTACTAAATTTAATTTGTCTATAAAGTTTTTCTTAAAGATAGCATACCATCCCCCGTGATCTGTGGTACTTCCTTTATAGCCTTTACAATATCAGTTACAATGAAGGTAATCAGAAATACCAACCTGTTCAATCCTTCATACTGGTAACCTCCAGGATCCATCTGTCTTAAGTACTGACCAGACAAGAATTTGGAAAAGAGAGTTAGAGGGAACCAAAACTTCTACTTCAACAATTTCCTTGATCAGAACAACAATCTCTCATTACTTCAAGAGAGTCTGTATTTATTGTATACCACCAAAGATGTCTCCAGTCACATTTTCCCATTAGCAAATTTACCCCTACCCTGCTTTAAAGTGCCTTACAGAGTATCATCTGTATACCCCACAGCGATTACTGGACAACTAGTGTCCATATCTGGTGACCCTAAGAAGTTTGCATATCACCTCTACATCACTTCATCCAAAAAAGCCATTGCAATAAGCCTAAGGCTTTTTTTTGTTTTATACTGTAAGGGATATTTTAATTATATGGACTTTTGAATTTTAATTCCTAGAAATTACCTTTATTATTATTTTCTGTCTAGAACTTCTATATCTGGATATTTGCACTTCTATGGATATTTCTCAGCTGTTCGATCGTATTTGTTTCCTTCTAGGAATGTGCTGGTATCCCACCTTACAAATGATGAATTCTTTCTTCAGCTATATTCATTCTCATATGCAATCTATTATGCTTCTTATTCAGCTGTTAACTTCTTTGCACCTAGTGTTTCTATTTGATTATTTTTCATTACATCTTATTCTTGTTTCCTATTGGTAATATCCTTCCCTTGTTGCATATTTTCTCTATTTCAAATTCTGACTCTTCCATTTTAATACTTATGATATGTTGTCCAATTTACATTTTTTAATTTAAGGAAGATATATTTCTGAAATGTTCAATTTAAATAAGTTATATCTTAGTATTTTGGCATTTAATAATATTATTAATTTGGCTTATCCCTGAAGAGATAGATACGTTGGCTGTTAATATGAACAGGGGAGGGGCAGAAGAAGGAATCTAGGTCAATCCTTAGAGGTCAAAGGTTTATGAAGGGATGGGCTTTCAGGTGAAGAACTCAAGTTACCACAAACCAGAATTAACCACTCCAATTTGGTTTCACCGCACCAAGTAACTTTTCAAGTCAACACTCTACATTCAAACACCAAGGAAAAGGAAGACTGCCTAAATTGTCATCCATCAGCCCTGGAAGTTTGGAGGAAAATGAATGAAAGAGAGAAAGCCAAGGCTGTTGAGTCCTCATCCATTAGTTTTCCTCAATTCTCCACCCTGTCAGGGATTTTGCATTCCCTTGATTTTATCCCTACAGAAGGATGGGCCATTGGAAGTATTGGCCTTCAAAGGTATGGGCAACCATTGCCAAATCCTGCAACAAAAAAGAAGGCAAAGGGGAAGCCAAGACAGTATTTCAACTGCTCTTTTCTAATTTCTACTTTAACAGCTGAGCCAAAAGCCCTTTGCTGTCAGCTGCAGCCATCTACCTGCCTTGCCACATACCAGTTCAAAGTAGCTGTCTTTTTTCCTAAGGATTTCTCACATTTTTATGAGTCTGCATCGAGTTTTCCTTCTCCCCCCGAGTTTCCCTCGGGTTGATTTGCTGGAGAGCAGCAGCAGCTTGTGCTAATTTGCAGTCTTGGCATAAATTGGAAACTCTCCTCCAAGCAGGTTTATGAACAGGAAACAGAAGACAACATCGCTGTAATAGAATCAAAGTAGACTACTGAATAGTCTTCTGAGATATATAAGATCCAAATTCTGGAAGAAACCTCAAACATCTAATTGTACATTTGACTACCCTGCTGGAATATTTAACTGTTAATTCCTTTAACAATATGGTCTCAAGTGAATGGACTAGATAGACAATTTTAAAGTGTAGAATAAACTGAAGAAAAGTTTTACAGTTTAAAGTTTAAATTATTTTAAATTTTGACTTAAAACTTGATTAGAAATTATCTTAATTTTAATAAAGAATGAAAAACAAATTTGAGAAATCTTCAAACTGCTTTCCACAGTGGCTGAACTAATTTACATAGCCACCAACAGTGGATAAGCATTAACTTTTCTCAACACCCTTACCAGCATCTTTTTTTTCTCTTTTTAACTTTTTAATAACAGACATTCTGACTGGTGTGAGACAGTATCTCATTGCAGTTTTGATTTGTATTTCTCTGATGATTAGTGATGATGAGTATGTTTTCACGTCTGTTGGCCACTTGTGTGTCTTCTTTTGAGAAGTGTGTGTCCATGTCCTTTGCCTATTTTTTTTAATGGAATTATTTGTTTCTTGCTTGCTGAATTGAGTTCCTTATAGATTCTGGATATTAGACCTTTGTTATATGCAGAGTTTGTACATATTTTTCCCCATGCTGTAGGTTGTCTGTTTATCAATAGTTTGTTTCTTTTGCTGTGTAGAAGCTCTTTAGTTTAATCAGGTCTTACTTGTCAATTTTTGGTTTAGTTGCAATTGCTTCTGGGGACTTAGCCAAAAATTCTTTGCCAAGAAAGCCTCAGAAAGGTATTTCAGAGGCTTTCTTCTAGAAGTTTAAGAGTTTGAGGTCTTACATTTAAATCTTAAATCCATCTTGAGTTAATATCTGTATAGAGTGAGCTACCATTTGACCCAGTAATCCCATTGTTGTGTATATCCCCAAATGAAAAGAAGTTATTATACCAAAAGGCACATGAACTCATATGTTCATCTCTGTGCCAATCACAATAGCAAAGACATGGAATCAACCTAGATGCCCATCAATGGTGGACTGAATTTTTAAAATGTAGTATATATACAGTATGAACTACAACATAGCCATAGAAAAGAATGAAATCCTGCCCTTTGCAGCAACACGAATGGAGCTGGAGGTCATAATCATAAGTGAATTATCACAGAAACAGAAACCTAAATATGGCATGTTTTCAATTATAAGTGGGAGCTAAACATGGAGCACAGAAGGACAGAAACATGGGAACAACAGACACTGCAGATTACTAGAGAGGGGAGGGAGAGAGGGGGACATGGGTTGATAAAATTATTTGGGTATTATGCTCACTACCTGGGTGCAATATACCCATGTGACAAACCTAAACATATACCCCCATATCTAAAATAAAAGTTGAATTTTATAAAAATAAAAATAATAAAATATGTTAAAAAAGAAAAAATAGATATCAGTACTGGTAAACCTTAAACTACAGATAAATTGCAAAGTTCTAGGTAAAGTGTCAAAATCCCTACTTTTAGCTGGGACATCTATTTGAGAAAACCTGTATCCAGCTCTTTAAATATAATTTGCATTGCGGTTGCTTGAATTCACAAATTTGAAGCAATCATCATATAATGCTCCTGGCATTGGTGGTGAAAATAAGTCAAAGCATATTTAAGCCTGTATTTTTGAAGCATGTTAACTGTCCTAATGCCCATCTCCTAATGTCCTCATAACAGCAATATTTTATTTTTACATTTTGGTTTCTCTTATATTCCCAAATATAGAGCCCACATTAAATGAAAGCTAACTAAACAACTATTTGGGAGTTCCTAGAACCTACTCTTTTCCAGCCGTCTCTCTAAGTGGACTACCCTTGTTCCTCAAATTCCACCACATTAGGTCTTTTAAAGTTAATCATGAGTGCTCTACATTAAAATGCAAAATATCCTAGAAAGAAAGATATTTTTACCTACTGGTATATAAGTGTGTATTATTTTATCAGATCCTTGGTATGGTATTGACCATACGATGGTCAATGAATTAGTATTGAATACCAGGATTTAAAGCAGGCTTCAAAAGACACTGAGGAACGTAGATCAAAGAGAGCTGGTGAAAAGTTTTAGGATACCAGGTGGGACATGGAAACTAGCAGCACCTTTAGGCCATTTGCCAAAGTGGGGAAAGGAGAAAATATTTTAAAGCAGGTGGGAGTATGCTGATGTAACTACCTTCTTCACGCTTTCATTTAGAGCCACTGTGCCCAAGAGACTGAAAATACTTGCGAAATTATTACACATATCCCAAAGTCAGGGCTATAAATTGTGATGCAACAAAAGACCTGACTTTCCCAGGCTGACCACCCAGCTTGCTTACACCTCCCTGCACAGCAACATACACAAGTTCCAATTTGAGGCCCTGCTTTAGAAATTTCTCACCTGTCCAAAAGAAATTCACCTGAATCTTCCTCTCTACTCCACCTAAAACTGATGAATCTTCCTTACTTCTGGTTGTAGAAAGAATGAATGAATTCATTTCTCAGAAAAGAAAGTTAACACTGAGATGATGGGGGAAATGTTGGCAGATATTCATATATGGACAACTTTTCCTCATCTCTAAAATCATACTATGCCTAAAGCCAATGTTCAGGTTACACCTATTATAATTATTTTGCAATATTTAGATAGATACCTAAGTCAGAGACGTCAAAGCAAGGGCTTTCCTTCGCAATTATAACCCCTCTAATCCTATCCCAAATTCCCAGCTATCTTCAAAACAAAGCCAGTGGATTTCTGTGCATAATTAACACCCAGACTAGACCATTCTTAACTGGCTCCTCACCTGTAACACAAAATTAACGTCAGGAAATACAACTACACCTATCATTAGCTGCATTCCATATTCCAAAAGAGAAAAAGATATTGCTTTGAATATATCTTCCTCTTACTTTTTCAAATATTTCCTTATTTGAATTCCTTTGGGTAAATGTCATTTCCTGTTAGGACCCCAAATTCGAATTCCTTTTTGAGATTCAAAATAACAACCAGTTGTTGGTTTCACAATAGCACTGCAAAAGACTGAAAGTTCTTATAAATCCCTGAAGGAACAAAAAACCATGAGAGTTTTTATCTACCTAACATTTTGAGTTTTGATCCTTTGGTTTTAGTTTGATATGCTAATATTTTATGCAACTAATTAATAATAACTAATTTTAATAAACTCAGAACATCTGTAGAAGGTACAATTTAGGCAACTACTAAATCATGCACCTCTTTCCTGGATTCATTCCGTAGTTTTAAAACAAATTAGTGTCCATTAAATACAACATATTTCCATTTTAAAGAAATTATTTAAATTCCACGTAATACTTTATGCATGCATGAATATTTGAACATGTAAAACAAAAACAAAAATGTTAGAACTTGTAGTTAGCACTCTGTTCAATGTTCTAGTTCAATTTCTATTTTTTTCGTCTATCCTATAATTGTTTATCTTGATTCTATTATTAAATGAGTATGCTGGGTTTATAAGATGAAATTAATTCCAATCTAGCAATTTCTAAATTCACAATTTTATAAGTCTTAGCTATGTGAAAATAAATAGAAACAGACCTTTTTGCTGATTTTATAACTAAAGAAACCTGAATTGAATAATTAGGACATAAAAATATGTGATAGTAAAGTTTTCTGAGAAATGGCCACCAAAAACAAGATTCATTTTCAAGTAAACAATGCAAAAATTCACTAAGCTGTTTGCCAAGTAGTTTTTCTCTTTCTACCTTTATACTTGCACTAGCTCTGCTAAAAGAAGCCTAATATATCTATGATTGAGGCCATGCCTTTATTGGAAATAGTGAAAATAGGATAATACATTCAATATTGGTTCACTTAAGGTAAGCCTAAACTACAGGAGATAAAGAATGCCATTAGCCAAATAGAAACTGTCTTAAAGATACAACATCTAAGAAGATGATGACAACAGCATAATATGAAACTCCAGTTAGTTAGCAACCTGCTTTGGTGATAAGACTTGAGCTCATAGGGGTATGCGTCCCAATAAAATAATTCAAAACGTGGAAGAAAAAACAGAGTGTGACATCAGAAAATTGCTGAAATTATTTCTATTTGAATACTTTTTTTCTGACCCAGAGAGGTACAATTTATCATGGAATGAATGGAACAATATGTGACAATAAGAGGAACCAATGAGAATAAATTAGGCTAGATTGCTGTGATACAGTGTTTTGCTTACTTGAATTGCCTACAAGTTTCTTTGCTAAATTCAAGTTGTTTCCTATACTGCTTAACGTGCCAAATTTGTTTTGATTCAAAATGCAGTAATGAAAAGAAAAAATTACATTGGCATTACTTTATACGGCAAAGTTATTTTTAGATATTAATATATTCCACAAACAAATTTATTGTACTCATTCTAGTTGACCTTAAAATTCTGTTATTCTGCTATTTTCCTAAAGAATATAAAGATCCAGTATGAATGTTAGTGTAAAAAAATCTTACAAAGCTCTACCTGGCTTTGATGACCCGTCATTACACAGTAAGATCCCTGCTGCTACTGGCGCTGAATTCTCAATCATGATAGAGCTGCTCCACAATCATGGAAAGATTTGTTAATTTTTGCATCCACACCCCTTCACTCTAGTTTGACCACACGCTAGGTTGCCTCTTTAATGCCAGGTTCCACCACGTGACTTGAATTAGCCAATGAAATGTAAACAGAAGTTACACGAGCCTCTTCCATGCACCAGGTGCAAATCTTGTCTCATTTTCTTCTATCTCTTTCCTCCCCCGCACTGCCACATGTGAAGCTGCTGATTGCCTGGGTTCTGGACTGAAGATCTTATGGAGATGAGCACCAGCTGGTCTCACGCATGTAGTCTGAGCAAGAAACCATTGTTTATCTTTTTTTAAATTTTCTGTTACTGCAGCATAATTAAGCCTTAGATCATTAATAAAATGTGTATTTAGAAGACTGGAAGAAATATATTTTATCAAATATATTTATATCAAATTGTAAACAGTAACATATGCTGGATGATATGGGGTCAAGGTAATCTTTTCATTTTTTGTTTTTCTGCACTTAAGGAAAAATATCTATTTAAATATTGGAATCAAAATAATGCTTTCTATGTTCTCACTTATTTGTAGGAGCTAAAAATTAAAACAATTGAACCCATGAAGATAGAGAGTAAGTAGAAGGATGGTTACCAGAGACTGGGAAGTGTAGTGGGGGTTGGGGGAGAAAGTGGGGATGGTAAACAAGTACAAAAATAACTAGAAAGAATTATTAAGGACTAGTATTTGATAGCACAACAAGGTGACTATAGTCAATAATAATTTAATTGTACATTTTAAAATAACTAAAAGAATATAATTGTATTGGTTGTAACAAAAGATAAATGCTTGAGGGGATAGACACTGCATTTATCCTGATGTGATTATTCTGCATTACATGCTGGTATCAAAGTATCTCACGTACCCCATAAATATATAAAACAATGTACCCACTAAAATTAAAAATTAAAAAAATACTTTATAAATACTATAAAATCAAATGCTTTGAATATATTCATATGCTGTTCTAATTCCATCCATTGCAGGCAGTTAAAAATTTACTGTGATAAATAATGTATCCTAATCTCCCTAAATGGGCAGATAGAATTACATACTTTTTACCCTTTAACCCTGGAAGAATAGACGTGTCTATTGGCAATTTAGAGGACAAAGAAAGAAGTGTGCAGAAACCCTGAAGCCCTTACTGTCCAATTCTTTATGGCACCAAGAGATGTTCTCACAGTCTGCATCAAGATGGCTGGTGGCTGGTAATAAGTTTTATGCTAGTAAGTACTTCCGTGAAATTAGTTATTTGCTGGATCCAAAACTTCATTAGCTTATGTTAAGGGAGAATTATCTTCAAAGCACCCTCTCAACTAGCAGGGTATGCCCCATAGACGTTTGGGCCAGAAAGCTCATGGCTGAGTCTATCCACCCCATTCCCTTCCCCTACATTTGCATTTCTGTTCCTTAAACTGCTTCCTGCTTCCATTCATGGAAGTAAGACCCTCCTCTTCCCTCTAAAGATCACACCAGCAGAAACACCTCTCCCCTAAGTGGCTTTAGTTTTCCACTCCTAAACTTATTTTATGTTGTATTGTATTTGTTCGTCTTCATTAGTAAAAGTTAGAAACTTAGAAACAAGAAAGCAAAAAGTATTTAGTGATTTTATAAGAATATATGCCATGTCTCAAGGAGTGATATAAACTTAAATATTTTAAATGTTTACATTCTGCTAATTTCTCTCTTTATTGGAGCAAAATAATCGTAACGCTATTCTTTAAGAATACCCATAAATTCACCTCAAGAAAAACGGAAGATTTAAGCAAAGATTTAAATAATGTTGTTTACTAAAATATTATTTGTAAAAGTTAACGATAAAGAGAAAAATTAACAAACATTGATTACACTGTTATTTCCAAAGAAGTAAATATGTTGCAGTAATTAAAACTTGTGATTTTTCAAAGACGTTTTGAGAAAATAAGAAATGCTTATGATATAATGTTAAATGGAAAATAATTTAAAAGTATGAATATATAACATAAATATTCCCATTTTAATTATTTCAATTACTTTAAAGAAAAAATGGAAAGAAGCAACAAGCATCTCAGGATCACATAATTAGGAATTACATGATAGTATTGTTGCCCCAAAATACATAGGTTTTGTGTTTTTTTTGTGTGCTTTCAAATTTTTCAACAAAATAAGGCTTCACTTTCACAACTGTAGGAAAACAAATTAAAGGAATCTCTACATGTACATAAATTCCAGTTTTCAGTAATCCAAACGCTATTCAACCAACTTCTTAGTTGAATTAATAATACAGCAACAATACAGTATCCATTTTAAAATCCCCATAGTAAAAAAAAAAACAAAACTATTTCTCTAACATTTTGAGGAATAAAGTTGGCTACTATGCTCTGCTATGTAGCTGAGAAGACAAACAAACAAACAAAATCCTAAAGCTCTTTCCTGGCAGCACTGCAAAATCCGAACATTAATGAGGGGAAAGTGGCATATATATGTTTATTCATAGTGCTCAGATTGTGTCCTAGAGATTAAAGCACTTGCCCAGAGCAAAACTGGAAGTTATTCACCAATAGGGAAACAACTGTGGCCTCCTGAGTGCTAACTGAACCTTTTTCTTTGTAAAGGAAATCACATTTTAAGTGTGTACATCATTTCACTTCTTGCCCAACATTTAGCCATAAGGAATGCTTAAAATGTGAGACTGGACTTTACCTTTAAATCTCATTAACTTTAGTAAGGGACAATTTTTTAAAGCTTTTCTTTGAATTTAAAATTAAACTTAACAGCCAGGTGCATACATTATTGTAAGTGACAAGTTGTTATTAAAAACATGTGTATTAGGCTCTTAAATGACCTGAACTTACTGTGGTCATACCAACTTTGACAGAACATTATCCAAACCTTTCATGAAGTATTTGGGATAGCAGCCCTTATACCTGTTGATGTTATAAATTCTAACAAGCTAGATTTAAAACAGAGTAAATAAAAGAATAAAGAGTATATTTACAGAAACTTCAATTAATAATAGCTTCTTTCAATAGAACTATTCGTCCTCAGAAGGCACAATCTTGAATTACTAAACATTTTTTATTCTTTTTTAAATTTTGGTAAATTTAATCACTTCATTTTCTAATTTTGTTTTCTGTTGCTTCTATTTTTATGTATTCCTGTTTTCTGTATGCCCAACAGCAAAAATTGACAGCCTGAGCCGTGAACTTAGGCCCGCACAGAATTTCCTATAGGATGCAAGCATCAACATTTATAACTGAATAAGTCGATTATACTTACATGTCATGTAACTTATATGTAAAATAAAAATAATAAAATATGTTGCAAAAGAAACAAAAATAGATGTAAATACTGGTAAACTTTAAACTACAGATAAATTGCAAAGTTCTTTGTAAAGTATCTAAATCCCTACTTCTAGCTGGGACATCTATTTGAGAAAACCTGTCTCCAGCTCCTCAAATATAATTTGCATTGTGGCTGCCTGAATTCACAGCTTTGAAGCAATCATCATATAATGCTCCTGTCACTGGCAGTGAAAATAAAGTGTATTTAAGCCTATATTTTTGAAGCATGTGAACTGTCCTAATGCCAATCTCCTAATATCCTCATGCCAGGAATATTTTATTTTTATGTTTTGGTTTCACTTATAGAGCCCACACTAAATGAAAGCTAACTAAACAACTATTTGGGAGTTCCTAGAACCTACTCTTTCCCAACTGTCTCTCTAACTGGACTACCCTGGTTCCTCAAATTGTACCATATTAGGTCTTTTTAAGTTAATCATTGCTCTGCATTAAAACATCACTGAATTTTATTGTTTTTCTACTGTTCATAATATGCTTTTATTATTTTTATCTATAATTCTGTCTCTGATAATTTCCCCTAATTCATTCTGCGTTGCTTTTTCCTCTTCCTGAAACAGTCTTTCCTCAGATGTCCACATTACTCATTCCCCACGAGTCAAGTGTTGACTCAAATATTCTTCCTTCAGTGTGGCCTTCTTGCACCATCCTATTTAAAATTGCAGCTATCATCTTCCCCTTTATTTTGAGCCACAGCACTCACCATCATCTAACATACTTCCTCGTTTCCTATTTATTTTGAACTTTATTCATCTCTGCCTACTCTAATTAAACTTCCCTGGGAGCACGGTGTTTAGGCTATTTTTTTTTATACTGTGACATACCCATCATATTGAAGAGGGCTCTTTTTTTTTTTTTATACTTTAAGTTTTAGGGTACATGTGCACATTGTGCAGGTTAGTTACATATGTATACATGTGCCATGCTGGTGCGCTGCACCCACTAACTCATCATCTAGCATTAGGTATATCTCCCAATGCTATCCCTCCCTCCTCCCCCCACCCCACCACAGTCCCCAGAGTGTGATATTCCCCTTCCTGTGTCCATGTGATCTCATTGTTCAATTCCCACCTATGAGTGAGAATATGCGGTGTTTGGTTTTTTGTTCTTGCGATAGTTTACTGAGAATGATGATTTCCAATTTCATCCATGTCCCTACAAAGGACATGAACTCATCATTTTTTATGGCTGCATAGTATTCCATGGTGTATATGTGCCACATTTTCTTAATCCAGTCTATCATTGTTGGACATTTGGCTTGGTTCTAAGTCTTTGCTATTGTGAATAATGCCGCAATAAACATACGTGTGCATGTGTCTTTATAGCAGCATGATTTATAGTCATTTGGGTATATACCCAGTAATGGGATGGCTGGGTCAAATGGTATTTCTAGCTCTAGATCCCTGAGGAATCGCCACACTGACTTCCACAATGGTTGAACTAGTTTACAGTCCCACCAACAGTGTAAAAGTGTTCCTCTTTCTCCACATCCTCTCCAGCACCTGTTGTTTCCTGACTTTTTAATGATTGCCATTCTAACTGGTGTGAGATGGTATCTCATAGTGGTTTAGATTTGCATTTCTCTGATGGCTAGTGATGATGAGCATTTTTTCATGTGTTTTTTGGCTGCATAAATATCTTCTTTTGACAAGTGTCTGTTCATGTCCTTCGCCCACTTTTTGATGGGGTTGTTTGTTTTTTTCTTGTAAATTTGTTTGAGTTCATTGTAGATTCTGGATATTAGCCCTTTGTCAGATGGGGAGGTTGCGAAAATTTTCTCCCATTTTGTAGGTTGCCTGTTCACTCTGACGGTAGTTTCTTTTGCTGTGCAGAAGCTCTTTAGTTTAATTAGATCCCATTTGTCAATTTTGTCTTTTGTTGCCATTGTTTTTGGTGTTTTGGACATGAAGTCCTTGCCCATGCCTATGTCCTGAATGGTAATGCCTAGGCTCAACACAGTGTAAGTGTTTTATAAATAATGGCCTAAATAAATGAATGAATTCTCCATTTTGTTTATTTGTGTCTTCTCCCTTGTTATTTTCCTCAACTAGTCAGTCCATGAATGTGTTCATTTTATTACTCTTTCAATAAACCACCACTTAGGATTTGTTATTCACTTTTTAAAATTATTTTTATCTAATTTGTTGATTTCTTTTCTTCACCTCTGTCTGTTTGGTAGGGAGGGAGATTTGTTCCTCCATTTTTCCATGCAAATCTAAGTACATAGATTTTCCTTTTCCCAACCTTTGTGTTTTCATTCCCATGCTATCATAAGTATACAGCTTTGTCTCTTAAGAACCTGTGGCAATAAATACTCTTAGCCTCATTCTTGACTGTAATTCAGCTGGCCATTCATCGCATAAAAAAAAATAGAAGTATAAATCATGTAACAGTTTTTTTAATGCCCTAGAAAACTGTGATCTGTGTTTTGATTCATTTTATTCATTATTTCTTTTTTCTTTTTCTGGTGAATGACTATTCAAATAGTGATACCCAGTGAGTTAACAGCTGTAATCAGACTTGCATTTACTGCTGCTTTTAAAAAATTGATTTAACGGGGTTGAACTCATTTTACCACATTTGATTATTTAACTGTAGCTTTTCAGTCTATAGGTATAAAAGGTCAAATGCTAAATTTGAGTACTTAAAGTGAGGAGTAATTGAGGTTGTTATATCAAGAAAAGATTTAATGGTTGGTGATGACACAGTATTTACATGACTAATGTTGATTTTTTTACTTTAAGTTTTATTCACTAATACTCTATTGCCACAGGAGAGTTCTAGGGCTGAATATTATTCAGATGAAGTGAAAACATTGAACCTAATCAATTTTAAACAGTTCATTTGAATATCTATTATAAACCGTGTGCATTCACTGCCATAGTTGTAATTAACTTAGCTTTATGCTCAGTTTTAAGCTTTTTTATTTAATCAAAATATACCCATTTTCTGTTTGCATGATGAAGAATACAAAATCTGTCTGTTGACAGTGGAATTTTGATATTAAACTGTTATTTTAAAACTTTTAAGTATAGAGTAAAAAAAAAAAATATGTCTTACAGAAAGGCAGCCAATAAAGCTGATTTCAGCATAAACATGAAAAGGCTTATGTGTTATTTATGTTAGGGATATTCATTACTGGATGCTGGTAAAAATCTATAGAGTTCATTTTCTTAATGTGACACTTTATATTAACTGAATCCTTTTCTTAAAGAAGGTAGGATTTCAGCCAGGTATAGAAAGAGGATTTTAGGTTCAAATAGGAGCTTTTTGGGTCATGATTACAGCATTAAACTGTCTGTATTTCCTCTGATTTTGAACCAAAGAAAATTATTTACCTTATGTAATGATATGGTTGGGCATATGAAGTATAAAAGTGAATTAGTACAGAAAATTAAAACTAATGTGAGCCTGTTATGAACTAAACATTTGTCCTCCACCCTTCAAATTCATATGTTGAAATCCTAACCTCCAAGGTGATGGTAGTGAGAGAAGGAGACGTTGGAGGTTATTAAGTCATAGGAGTAAAGTCCTCATGAATAGAATTAGTGCCTTGATAAAAGTAACCCAGAGAGCTCTGTCGCTCCCTTTCTACCATGTGAGAATACAAGAATGTAGAAGTCTGCAATGGGAAGGGAGCTCTCACCAGAATCCAACCATGCTGGCACCCTGATCTCAGACGTCCAGCCTCCAAAACTGCCAGAAGTAATTTTTTGTGGTTTGTAAGCCACCCACTCTACGGTACTTTGTTATAACAGACCAAACTGATTAAGACAGAGTCCTTGAATTTTGCAAATTCATTTCGTATTCAGATCATATAATTTCATTGCTAGAAATGAATATAGAATATACTCAACTAATCCCTCAATTTTAAAGATATAAAAGAAGACCACCAAATGACCAGGGCGAAATTGCACAGAGAGGAGCTAGTTTTCCAGAGATGAAGGGCATGAAGTTTCCTGTCTAGACTCCATCATTTAACATTGAACTACCCTGAGGAAGCCATTTTTCTAAGTTTTTACATTAGTGAAAGAAAAACGTAGGTAAGATAAAGTGATTATGAAGATAAAATGAGTGGCAGACACCCTGTAAGTATTTAAATGTAATGACATTTTATGTATGAAACTCATTTAATTTTTACAATAATCCTGGGAAGTAGGTAATATTAACTTCCCTGTTTTAGGTTAACAAACTAACGCATAGAGAAGAAACTAGCCCAAGGTAATAGAGCTGGTAGGAAAGAGAGTCATGATTCAAATCCCAGCTGTCTGATTTCAAAGCCCAGGCTCTTTGCCATTATATACTATGACCTACAAATTGGAGAAGTGTCTTAGCAAGAGAAATACCAAGAAGCCAGGTATGTGTATTTTAATTGTGACTCTTGGTCTGTCCTTTGGACCGCAGCCTTTTCAACTTCAGGCTTATAATTTTCTCCCCTGCATTTCATTCTTTCTACTCTCCTAGCAATGATGTCTCATTTAGTTATTCTTTTAATTTTTTAATTGACAAATTATAATTGTACATAGTCATGGGGTACACAGTGATGTTTCAGTACATATAATGTAGGGTGATCAAATCAGGGTCATTAGCATATCCATCATTTCAAACATTGATCATTTTCTTGTGTTGGGAACATTCAATATTCTCCTTCCAGCTATTTGCAACTATGTAATATATTATTGTTAACTATAGTCATCCTACAGTGGTATAGAACATTGAAAATTATTTCTCCAGCTAGCTGTAATTTCATATCCTTTAACAAATCTCTCCCTCCCCTCTCCCCTTCCCATCCTCTAGTATTCTCTGTTCTACTCTTTACTTCTATAGATCTCTCAAATCCTATCAACCCAAACCTGTGCCTCAGCATTTTCCACCACCATCACCCTTTCAAAACTACCTCCTTTTATGCTGGGAAAACGGCAAAAAAAAATTTCTTGAACCCATCAAGGACCCGAGGTCACAGCTAATCAAATAATCTGAATTCCAAAGACAAACAAGACACTACAAGGAAATATGAATGGTTCCTTCAGGAAGCGTAAAATCGTGTCAAGTAAACAAAGGTATGTTCAACCTCCACTGAAGAGTGAAGCACTGCAACTTAAGCAAAAATATGTCATCTGTTACAAAAATATATAGCTGTCAGGCTACGAAGCTGGAATGGGTTGGGTTCCTATATAATAAGCGAACCTAAGCCCAACTCAATGCAAACAGTAAGATGGAATTTATGCTTAACCAATCAGAAGCTGCCAAACTAATCTCTTACTAGGGACTTTCCACTTTTATCAATCAAATATATTTTCATTTGCGTTTTATAAAATTTTCCATTCTACCCTCCTCAGTGGAGGGCTAAAGCATTTGAGGTTTGGTACTGCCAGGCTCGTGACTAGTTGAATGCTCAAATAAACCCCTTAAAATTCCAATGTACATAAGTTTATCTTTTAATAAAATTTGTACACATAAGATTGGTAACATAAGAAAGCTGAATAACGACAAGTATTGACAGAGAAGTATGAGAGGTAGAAACCTCAGGTACTGCTTCTGGGCGTTTAGGCAGAAATAGCTACACCAGAGATGAGCTGGCTGAACTTAGGAGGATAAAGAGTAAAGTAGAAATCATGGTTCCCAGAATATGCCCAAGAAATTTCAACAGGACCATAAAAGGACATGTGTAAATATCCTCATAAAATTCTTGTTTACTAAGAAGACAATTGATAGACGTCTATCACAGAGAGAATTAAGAAGATACAATAGCTGTTTACTCAAGTTAGATGGAATGGGTATAATATAAAACCTCAAATTTCAGTAAATCTTAAATGACTAATGTGTGAAAAAGTAAGACAGATAATAATATTTACCAATTCTTGACTTTCTCTCTTTTATAGTGCTTTAATTTCTGCTTGAATCTTTACAAAAACTGCTTTTTTCTTCATCCTAATAAGTTTTTGTTTGGCGGTTTCAAGGCATTTGTTCATGAACTAATTTCCAGAGTTAAATGTGTTAGCTTATTTATTTTTATTCATTTTTGTTTAATTTTGTTTAATAATGAAATTTATTCAATGACTTATAATTTGCCTCTGGTTGTTGGTTTTGTCATAGTTTATATGTTTTAATACAAAATGTTGTAATAGAAATATTGTGTAATTGCAAATTAATTTCTTTTTTGACCATGAAATTATTTTGCAATATGTTTCATACTTCCACAGGGTAATGAAGAAGTAATTTTTAGTCTGTTGCTATTTTCCAGGTCTTTTATTGTAGTCAGACAACATATCAAATTAAAAAAATTCACTTCTTTAGATTTATTGGCTTGTTGAATGTGTGATTACTTTTAAAAATATATTTCATGGGCTTTTAAAAGAGGTGAATTCTTGTAAGAAACTGAAATTGGCAATATACCATTAAGTCGAAGAAATAGTTTAATATTATAATTCTCAATTTCTCATTTTCTTTTTTGATCCAATGAAAATCAAAGGTATTGCATTAAAGTTTAATATCCAGTTGCATTCCTATTCCTTTCTTCTTATATTCTAATAACTTATTATGAGAAAATAAAGTATACTTAGTAATTTATTATGTTTGTAATAGTTTATTTCCTCAATACTATGATTTTTCATGAGTAATATTTTGATTAAAAATTGACTTTTTGTTATTATAAAAAATTGTTTTTGATCTAGTTTATTAATACTGGCCTATAACTCCTTGTAACATTCTGCTTTTTGTTTGGTGCTCTTATTTTCATATTTCTATTTTTAATTTGTTTTATCACCTTATTTTAGGTTATTTACATTAACCAAATCATCAGTAATGAAATGCATCTATTTTGCATTTGAAAAGAAAAATAATTTGCTTAAGTCAATATATTAATTACCCTAGAACCAAAAGGAGAAGAAATAGATACATTGATTTGAAACTCTCCTGTCTAACCAATAAAACACAGAAACTTAACCAACAAGCACATACAAACCCTAGATTGGATACTGTTTTCTGCTGAATATCAATAAATAAAGTGATAGATGGTTGCATTTCAAAGCTGATTACATGAAACTTATAAAGTCTGGATATCTACAAGTAACTTTTATCTACAAATTACCCTTCAAATCTTATTGTGCAGATGTAAATCTGATACCTAAATTTTTATTTCTCATCATGGATCAGCACATACATTCTTTGTTTCTCTGTTCAAAGACAAAGAATATTTTCAGACTCTAGCTCCTCATTAAAGTTCCCAAATTACTTTATGACTTAGAATCCTGCTTTTCACACTATCTGATTAACCAAATCATATCTTAGAAACTCATCTTGCTACATGTGCTAATTATAAGTTCACAGACTGGTTCTAGTCATTATTTTATTAACCATCTTTGGAAAAGGAGAGAGAGAGAGAGAATGTGTGTGTGGTGATTATACTTTCTATGTTAGGAAAATGTAGGTTTATGATGTTATAATTGTTTACCTCTACAGCTCTATAGTCTTAGACTTACTTTAGCCCCTTTTCATCATTACCATACCTTAAACTAGATCTGCATAAAATTATCTCTTTTCTGTCTCTGAGGCTGGTTCTTCCATCTTATTTCTAAATACATAGCATGTATTAAATTTATTGCACTTCTTGAGATACTTCTTGATAATGTTTTTCTAAAAGTTGCTACTTACGCAATGTTCTATAATTTATATAAGCTCTACTACCACATACAATCAAACTATTACTTCTAATATTACTACACAAACATATGCATTTCCTTAAAGATTACCAATGCATAACAAATATATCCTAGCTCTCAGCCTGGAGTATCTTACTGACTTCTTTTCAAATGAGACTTGATAAAACATGAGCAATATTTGCACTCTTTTATTGACAATAAATCTAGATCCATGAAATTTTGTATACAATCCATAGTCTTCTTTCTTCTTTGTTTCTTTGTTTCTTCCTTTCTTTCTTTTTAGACAGGGTCTCATTCTTCCACCCAGGCTGGAGTGCAGTGGTACTATCATGGATCACCGAAACCTCGACCCCTTGGACTCAAGTGATCCTACCACCTCAGCCTCCTGAGTAGCTGGGACTACAAGTGATTGCCATCATCCCCTGGCTAATTTTTCAATTATGTGTAGAGATAAGGTCTTGCTATGTTGCCCAAGCTGGTCTTAAACGCCTGGGCTGAAGCGATCCTCTTGCCTCGGCCTCCCAAACTGCTGGGATTACAGGCCTGAGCCACATCACCCAGCCTACCACAGTCTTAGCGTCCACTGTTTTGGAATGAATAGGCTCACAAAGCCAGCAGAGTCAGTGCTAAATTGTTTTAAAATAATAGTATGTTCTTTATCTCTATGCAGTTCCATACATTGGAAATGTTATTACCTAAATCATTGCTCTTGAATTATACCATGGCTACAAGCCTTCAGTTTGAGTAAACTGGGGAGGTGATACATAGCTTTCAATAAATTATTTCAGCTTTTTGTTTGTCTCAAAATATCATTACCTTCACTTTTGAAAAATAATTTTTCTGGCTATAGAATGGTGCACTAACAGGTTTTGTTTTCAATATTGTTCTACTTTTTTCTAACAAGAAGACTCTTGTAATTCAAATATTAGTTTCTCTGTATGTGTTTTAACTATATCCCCCATTCTCTTTCTCCTCCACCCTTCTCCTCTCCTTTCATTATTTTATTTTGACTTTGATTTTTGGCAGTTTTTTCTCCTCTGTAACTATGTATCTCACCAGCAGTATATGAAAATTCCATTTGCTCTGCATTCTTGACAATACTTGATCTTGCCTAGGTATTTCATTTTAGTCATTCTTGTGGTTACATATAGATACCTCACATTGACTTTAATTTGCATTTCCATGATGACTAATGATATTGCACACTTTCTCATATGTTTGTTGCCTACTTGGAGATCATCTTTTGTAAAGTGCCTGTTCAAATGTTATTCTTCTCTTTTAGATTGACTGTAGTTTTCTTTGCAGAAATCATTTTTATATATCGTTTGCAAGTTCTTTGTGAGATATACGTACTGCATATGCATCCTCCAAATTTTTAGTTTGCCTTTCCTCTTTTAATGTTATCTTTTGGTGAACATAATTTAAATACAAAAATTATCGTTTTTCTTTTATGAGTAATATATTCTGTCTAGTTTCAGAAATATTTGCATAATGCATAGGCATAAAGATATCCACCTATGTTTTATTATAAAAGTTTTATTGTTTGATCTTTCACATTCAGATCAGAAATTGATTTGTGTAAAAGATGCAGGGAAAGTTTGTTTTTTGTCTGCATATAGATAGACATCTAATTGACTCAGCTTTGTTTATCAAAAAGACAATCTTTCATCATTGCCACTTATAAAACAGGAGACTGTATTTATTTATATTGGTTTCTGGCCTCTTTATTCTATTTGTTTATTTTTTGCCAACATCATGCATGTTAATATCTACAGTTCTTAATGTCTTCATGTCTGACACAGTGAGTATTCTAGCTTTGTTCTTCCCGAAAGCCACCTTAGACACACTTGACCTCCTGTATTTCCTCATGATTTTTGAATCTATTTGTCAGTTTCCACAAGATATGATTACAAGTGTTTTTTATACTTGTAGTTGCAACTTTTACACAAGTTGCACTGAATGTATAAATCACTGTGGAGGAAACTGACAACTTTATAATAGCAAAGCTTTTACTACACGAACATTGTATATTATTCCATTTAAGTAGGTCTTCTTCAGCCTCTCAGCAGCAATTTACTTGTAGTTCTCAATATCAACCTCTCAAACATTTTTATTCTGTTTATAGATATTTGGTATTTTCTGTTCCTCACATGATATTATTTGTATATTTTATTTTCTATTTGCTTATTGATGGTATATAAAATATAGTGTGCATCCAGCATACTTTCTAAAATCACTCAATACTTTTAAGTTTGGAAATTCTTTAATAGTTTAGCAGTTTGAATCTTCTACACACACTATTGTGTTATCTGTTTTGTAAACTGATTATATTTCTTGCTTTCTAATATCTATACCTGATTGCTTAACAAGTTTTCTTATCCATCACTGGCTGGAAAATCCCATACATTATTGAATAGAAGAAGTGATAACAGATGTCCTAATTTTATTCTTGGCCTTAGGGAGAAATCTATTAATATTTTACCACTAAGTATGGAGTTGGCTGTAGGTTTGTTTTTAACTACTCTTTAGAAGGATTACTTCATTTATCTTTCTAAGAATTTTTATTATGAATGATTGTCAAATTTTCCAAATATATTTTTCTCCATCTGTTGATATGCTTATATACTTTTCTCCATTTTCTGTTGAAATTTGGAGTTACATTGATTGAGTTTTACCTTTTAATAAACTTTGAATTCCTAAAATAAAACCAACTTGGTCTTGATGAATTCAACTTTATATATATTGCTGAATTAATTTTTCTAAGATTCCTTTAGATTTTTGTATCCATAATCAAGAGATTTTGATCTGCAGTTTCCCTTTCTTGTAACGACTTAAGTTTCAGTATCAGGTTATAGTAGCCTCAAAAATGAATTTGGAAACTTTTTTTCCTTTTCTATTCTCTAGAAGATGTGTTGTTCCTTATATGTTTGATAGAATTCTCTTGCAATGCCATATGGTTTTCATTTGAGAAAATTTATAAGTAACAGCTTAAATTTATTTTTAGAAAAACACAGGCTTATACTGGCTTTCTTGCATGATTTTAAAGTTCAGTTTTTTCAGAACTTTGCCCGTTTTATCTCAGTTGTCAAATGTATAGATTGATGTTGTTCAAAATCAGTTGATTGTCTTTTTGGGGGAAGGAAGGGAGTTAAATTTTTCCTTTAAATAATTATAGCTTCACAAGAAGTTGCAAAAAAATGTACATAGAAGTCTCGTTGACTCTCACCCAGTTTCTCCCAATGGTAAAATTTTGCATATCTATAGTACAATATTAAAACCAGAAATTAACATGGATACAATCCACAGAGATTATTTGAATATTACCAGTTTTACATGCACTCATTTGTTCAAGAGTGAGAGAGAGAGAGAGTGTGCATGTGTGTGTGTGTGTGTACAACTTTGTCACATAGATTAGCGTCACCATCACCACAATGGGGGTTACAAAACTGTTTCATGATACAAAGCTTCCTTGTGCTAGCTGTTTATAGCCATGCCTATCTCTCTTTCCCCAATTCTAACCATGGTGACCACTAATCTGTTCTCTATCTTTATAATTTTATGTCAAAAGTTAGATAAATTGAATTATATGCTGTGTAACCTTTTTAGATTGGCTATTTTCATTCAAAGATACATCTAAGTTATTGAGTGTTATCAATATTTTGTCTCTTTTATTGCTAAGTAATACTCTATTGTATGGAAGTATCACAATTTGCATAACCATTCACCTATGACATGGTATCTGAATTGTTTCCAGTTTTTGAGCTATTATCAATAAAGCTGCTATGAACATTTACAGGCAGGTTTCTATGTGAATATCATTCGGTTTCTCTGAGTTATATGCCTAAGAGTGTAATTGGCAGGTCATTAGGATAAGTTTATGTTTATTCTTATAGTACACTACCAAACTATTTTCTAGAATTCTGTACCATTTTATATGATTACCAGCAATTTATGAGTAATCTAGTTTCTCCACATCCTCACCAGTATTTGGTGTTATCACTATTTTAAATTTTTGTTATTTTAGCTATTCTAATAGGTATGTAGTGATATCTCATTATTTTAGTTTCCATTTCCCTAGTGGCTAATAATGTGGAATATCGCTTCATGCACTTATTTGGCATTTTTATATCTTTTTGGTGAACTGCCTGTTCATGTCTTTTGTATATTTTCTGATTGGATTGTTTTGTTTATTACTCTCAAATTTTCAGAGTTCTTTATATGTTATAGATACAAGTCCCTTGTCAGAT
Organism: Homo sapiens; assembly: GCF_000001405.40. Classification (NCBI taxonomy): domain Eukaryota; kingdom Metazoa; phylum Chordata; class Mammalia; order Primates; family Hominidae; genus Homo; species Homo sapiens. Next base: position 16,643,759 of record NC_000008.11, read on the forward strand.
ATATGGTTTGTAAATATTTTCTCCAAGTATGTAGCTTGTGTTTTCATACTCTTACCAGGGTCTTTTATAGAGAAAAAGCTTAAATTTTTATGATATCCAATTTATCAGTTTTTTCTTTTTTAAATCATGCTTTTGGTGTCAACTCTAAAAGCTGCCTGGCCCTAAGTCTCAAAGTCTCTTTACTCCTCTCTTCTAAAAATGTTTTAGTTTTACATTTTACATTTAAGTCCATGATTCATTGTAAGTTAATGTTATGAGGTATATTTCTTAAGTCAAGACTTTTTTTTTTTTTTTGCCATGTTGACCTATTGGACCAGCATCAATTGTTGAAAAGGCTATCCTTTCATTCAATTGTTTTTGCACCTTTGTTAAAAATCATTTGGGCCTGGGTATGGTGGCTCATACCTGTAATCCTAGCACTCTGGGAGGCCAAGAAAGGAACGTTGCTTGAGCCCAGGAGTTCGAGTCCAGACTGGGCAAGATGGTGAAACTTTGTCTCTACAAAAAATTTTAAAACATAAAAAATAGCTGGGCACAGCAGCGCACACCTGTAGTCCCAGCTACTCAGGAGGCTAAGGCAGGAGGATCACTTGAGCCCAGGTATTTTTTGTTGTTGTTGTTGTTAGATGAGTCTTGTTCTGCTGCCCAGGCTGGAGTGCAGTGGCACGATCTCGGATCACTGCAACCTCCGCCTCCCTGGTTCAAGCAATTCTCTGCCTCAGCCTCCTAAGTGGCTGGGATCACAGGCGCCCGCCACCACACCCAGCTAATTTTTTTGTATTTTTAGTAGAGGCAGGGTTTCAGCATCTTGGCCAGGCTGGTCTTGAACTCCTGACCTCATGATCCACCCGCCTCGGCCTCCCAAAGTGCTGGGATTACAGGCGTGAGCCACTGTGCCCGGCCGAGCCCAGGAATTTAAGATGGTAGTGAGCTGTGATCACACCACTGCACTCCAGCCTAGGCAATAAAGCAAGATCCATCTATTTGAAAACAAACAAACAAACAAAAAACCCATCATATTGGCAATATTTGTGAGGGACACTTATTATGTGTTCTTTATGCTCTTCCATTGATCTATGTGTTGATCCCTCTGCCAGTATTACTTGATGCTGTTTTGATTATTTCAGCTCTACGGTATTTTTTCAATTCCAGCAGAATGTTTGCTCCCACTCTTTTATTCCTTTTTAATATTGTCTTAGGTATGTCACTTGCCTTTTCATATAAATTTTAGGCATCATGTATTGTCTTTTTAATGTCTGTAGGATCTATGATTATGTTCTCATTTTTATTTCTACTATCAGTAATTCGTGTCTTCTCTTTTGTTCTTTATTCATTTTAAATTTTGTATTATATTTAATATTTCAATACAGACTTATATGCTATATTAAATTAATACCTTAGTATTAATTATTTTTATTTATTTATGCCAAAGTTCATCCATTTTATTTGTCTTTTTGGAGAACTAAACTTTGATTCTATTGGGTTATATATTCTTTTTAAAATTACTGATTTTACCTTTAGTACTTTTTATTTCCTTTCTGCTTTCTTTGGGTTTACTTTGCATGCCACTGATAGCCTCAGTTTATTGCTACATAAGACATCTCAAGTCTCTAATCCTAACTGGGCATACTATCCAGTTCCTGAGTTACCTGTGGTGGCTGCACAGTTGTCTTAGTTTTCTCCCATTATCTCAAGTAACTCAGTGCGAAACTTTCCTCGGCCCTAAAAAATACATCCCAGCTTTTAAAATTATCATTATTTTTAAGTTTTCATTTTTTGGTGGGAGCTGTGACCAGGACTATTTTCATAGCCAAAACAGTCTCTACTTTTTGGCAAGGGTCAATACACATTGGTTCCAATTTTCTTTGTAGGAGCTGAATTCCTGGCGATCTATGCTTATATTCGGTCATGTAGAACTCAGTTGGTTTTGCACTTCAGTGCACACTTACTGTTTTGCACTTCCATTTAGACTAGTCCACTGACATGATTTGTCATGGAATTTAGCCTTTATGTCTTCTTTAAATTTTCCAGTTTATCAGTCATTGCTGTGTGATAGAAGAGACAGGGTGGAAGGTCTGTCTCTTCTATACAAACCTTCAGTGTTTCTGGACCAACTACTTCAAAGGGTATTTTTGCAGTCACACAATCTTAGGGGGAAAAAATGAAGAGAAAAAAATAACTGTCAGAAATATTATGAAGTTATTCCATATAAGTGGAGTCTGTGTTCCCAATATAATATCAGACTTAGAGGCAATATTTTACGGGACAAAAATCACAATCTATAGGAGCTGGGCCCTCTACATTGCAATATACATTCAGTGTGGCAGGGATTTTGCAAGAGGAAGATAAAAATTTTGTTAGTTCTATTATTTCTTAAATCTTTAATTTTGTTGATCTAGATCTTGCTGCCTGGTTCATTCCAGAAGCAAAAGGAAGAGGGCCTCTTTAATATTTAAGTCATAAAATAGAGCTCATTCATCCAGAAGTAGTGATGCAGAATGTGCAGTGGGAATAGCTATCAGGAAACGCAATGATATTACATTTATCCCTTTTAAAAGATAATTCCGATCTACTTGACACAATTAGGGGAGAAATGAAAGTAAGTACAGGCTTAGAAATTCTATCAGTAAGATAAATGCTTTAAATGAAGATCAATTAAGAGCCAGGTAGAGTGCTCAAAACAAGTGTCGGGAAGTGGGCAAATTGATAGTATCAAAGCTATGAAAATCACTAGGAAAAGTTAATAGGTTGGCAAAGATAAGCAAGCCAATATTTGGAAAAGCTAAATAGTTGTGCTAAGAACAGAGTGACTCACTGAAGTACAGAATTCTTATTTCTTTTAATATTTTTCTCACTGTTTGTTTCTATTAATACTGGTTAGAGAGGAGGCAGATATACTCCTGGGAAAAGGTAAGAGGATCTCTGGAGTAAATGATAGGAAGGAGGGCCACATATAGGTAGATTGAAAAATGGTTTGAACTACTATCTTAGACACATAAAATACTGAATGTGAAGTTCTGCAAAACATTAGTGACAGTTGAGAATATATTAAAAATATAATTGCAAAAATGATTGCTAACATTTTTAAGAATTAGAAATGACAATTCACTGTTAAATAAAATTATTTGCTAATTTTTCTCTAACTTATCACCAATATGAACAAATGAACCTACTGTATATGTGAGTATAAACAAAAAATGCTCTGCCTGCTTAAGGTAAGATAGGCATTGTTCATATGATATGTTTTTCAGATACCTAATCAACTTGCAGCAATTTACACCATATGAAAGGGAAGTGCTTTGGTGAATTTATAAAGCCCTCTAACTCCAAAACATTTGTATTTTTTCTTTATTGATGTAGGCAAAGAGTTGCGTTGCTCATAGCGATAATTTCAGGGCATACAGTGAGCATTATCTGAGCAAAGTCACTATAATTTTTTACATAATTATTTATCACTTTTTATTCCCATACCCATATATTATCCAATGTACAGTGTTTTTTTGTTTTTTGTTTTGTGTTTTTTACTTTAAGTTCCAGGATACATGTGTAGAACGTGCAGGTTTGTTACATAGGTATATGTGTGCCATGGTGGCTTGCTGCACCTGTCTACCTGTCACATAGATTTTAAGCCCCACATGCATTAGCTATTTGTCCTGATGCTCTCCCTCCTCTTGCACCCCCCACCTCCAACAGGCCCTCATGTATGTTGTTCCCCTCCCTGTGTCCATATGTTCTCAATGTTCAACGACTCCCACTAATGAATGAGAACATGCAGTGTTTGGTTTGCTGTTCCTGTGTTAGTTTGCTGGGGATGATGGCTTCCAGCTTCATCTATGACCCTGCAGACGACATGATCTCACTCCTTTTTATGGCTGCATAGTATTCCATGGTGTACATGTACCACATTTTCTTTATCCAGTCTATCAGTGATGGCCTTTTGGGTTGGTTCCATGTCTTTGCTATTGTGAATAGTGCTGCAATAAACATACGTGTGCATGTGTCTTTATAATAGAATGATTTATATTCCTTTGGGTATATACCCAGTAATGGGATTGCTCAGTCAAATGGTATTTCTGGTTCTAGATCCTTAAGGAATCTCCACACTGTCTTCCACAATGGTTGAACTAATTTTCATTCCCACAACAGTGTAAAAGCATTCCTACTTCTCCACAGCCTCTCCAGCATCTGTTGTTTCTTGACTTTTTAATAATCGCCATTCACTGGCGTGAGATGGTATCCAATTGTGGTTTTGATTTGCATTTCTCTAATGACCAGTGATGATGAGCATTTTTTCATATGTCTGTTGCCGCATAGATGTCTTCTTTTGAGAAGTGTCTGTTCATATCATTTGCCCACTTTTTGATGGGGTTGTTTTTTCTTGTAAATTCTGCATATTGGACCTTTATCGGATAGGTAGATTGCAAAAACTTTCTCTCATTCAGTAGGTTGCCTCTTCACTCTGATGTTAGTTTCTTTTGCTGTGCAGAAGCTCTTTAATTAGATTCCATCTGTCAATTTTAGCTTTTGTTGTAATTGCTTTTGGTGAATTCATCAAAAAATATTTGTCCATGGCTATGTCTTGAATAGTATTGCCTAGGTTTTCTTCTAGGGTTTTTATAATTTTGGGTTTTACAATTAGGTCTTTAATCCATCTTGAGTTAATTTTTGTATAAGGTGTAAGAAAGGGGTCCAGTTTCCGTTTTCTGCATATGGCTAGCCAGTTTTCCCAGCACCATTCATTAAATAGGAAATCCTTTCCCCATTGCTTATTTTTGTCAGATTTGTCAAAGATCAGATGGTTGTAGATGTATGGTCTTACTTCTGAGCTCTCTATTCTGTTCCATTGCTGTTTTGGTTACTCTAGCCTTGTAGTGTAGTTTGAAGTCAGGCAGTGTGATGCCTCCAGCTTTGTTCTTTTTGTTTAGGATTGTCTTGATTATGCAGGCCCTTTTTTGGTTCCATATGAAGTTTAAAGTAGTTTTTTTTTTTTCTAATTCTGTGAAGAATGTCCATGTTAGTTTGATGGGAATAGCCATGAATCTATAAATTACTTTGGACAGTACTGCTATTTTCATGATACTGATTCTTCCTATCCATGAGCATGGAATGTTTTTCTATTTGTTTGTGTCCTCTCTTACTTCCTTGAGAAGTGGTTTGTAGTTCTTCTTGAAGTGGTCATTCATGTCCCTTATTAGCTCTATTCCTAGGTATTTTATTCTCTTTGTAGAAATTGTGAATGGAAGTTAATTCATGATTTGGCTCTTTGCTTCTCTATTGTTGGTTTATAGGAATGCTTGTGATTTTTGCACATTGATTTTGTATCCTGAGACTTTGCTGAAGTTGCTTATTAGCTTAAGGAGTTTTGGAGCTGAGATGATGGGTTTTCTAAATATGGTATCATGTCATCTGCAAACAGAGATATTTTGACTTCCTCTCTTTTCTTTTTTAATACCCTTTATTTCTTTCTCTTGCTTGCCTTGACTAGAAATTCCAATACTATATTGAATAGGAGTGGTGAGAGACGGCATCCTTGTCTTGTGCCAGTTTTCAAAAGGAATGCTTCCAGCTTTTGGCCATTCAGTATATTAGCTGCAGGTTTGTCATAAATAGCGCTTATTATTTTGAGATATGTTTCATCAATACCTAGTTTACTGAAAGTTTTTAACATGAAGGAATGATGAATTTTATCAAAGGCCTTTTCTGCATCTATCGAGATAATCATGAGGTTTTTGTCATTGGTTATATTAATGTGATTGATTTTGTTTATTGATTTGCATATGTTGAACCAGCCTTGCATCCCAGAAATGAGGCTGACTTGATCATGGTGGATAAACTTTTGGATGTGCTGCTGGATTTGATTTGCCAGTATTTTACTGAGGATTTTTGCATCAGTGTTCATCAGGGATATTGGCCTGAGGTTTCCTTTTTTTGTTGTGTCTCTGCCAGGTTTTGGTATCAGGATGATGCTGGCCTCAAAAAACGAGTTAGGGAGGAACCTCTCCCTTTCAAATGTTTGGAATAGTTTGTGAAGGAATGGTACCAGCTCCTCTTTGTAATGTCCAGTAGAATTCAGCTGTGAATCCATCTGGTTCTGGGCTTTTTTTGGTTGGTAGGCTATTTATTGTTGTCGGTCTATTCAGGGATTCGTCTTCTTCCTGGTTTAGTCTTGGGAGGGTGTATGTGTCTAGGAATTTATCCATTTCTTCTAGATGTTCTAGTTTATTTGCATAGAGGTGTTTATAGTATTCTCTGATGGTAGTTTGTATTTCTGTGTGGTCAGCAGTGATATCCCTTCTGTCATTTTTTTATTGTGTCTATTTGATTCTTCTCTTTTCTTCTTATTTCTTGTCTTCTGCTAGCTTTTGGATTGGTTTGCTCCTGTGTCTCTAGTTCTTTCCATTGTGACATTAGGGTGTCAGTTTGAGATCTTTCTAGCTTTCTGATGTGGGCCTTTAGTGCTATAAATTTCCCTCTTAATACTGCTTTAGCTGCATTCCAGAGATTCTGGTACATTGTCTCTTTGTTCTCACTGGTTTCAAAGAACTTCTTGATTTCTGCCTTAATTTCATTATTTACCCAGGAGTCATTCAGGAGCAGGTTGTTCAATTTTCATGTAGTTGTGTGGTTTTGAGTGAGTTTCTTGATCCTGAGTTCTAATTTGATTGCACTGTGGTCTGAGAGACTGCTTGTTAAGATTTCATTTCTTTTGCATTTGCTGAGGAGTGTTTTACTCCCAACTATGTGGTTGATTTTAGAATAAGCACCACGCAGAACCGAGAAGAATGTATATTCTGTTGTTTGGAGGTAGAGAGTTCTATAGATATCTATTAGGTCCACTTGTTCCAGAGCTAAGTTCAAGTCTTAAATATCCTTGTTAATTTTCTATCTAATTTTGATCTGTCTAATATTGACAGTGGGGTGTTAAAGTCTCACACTATTATTGTGTGGGAGTCTAAGTCTCTTTGTAGGTTTCTAATAACTTCTTTTATGAATCTAGGTGCTCCTGTATTGGATGCATATATATTTAGGATAGTTAGCTCTTCTTGTTGAATTGATCCCGTTACCATTATGTAATCCCTTCTTTGTCTTGTTTGATCTTTGTTGGTTTAAAGTCTGTATTATCAGAGACTAAGATTGCAAACCTTGCTTTTTTCTGTTGTACATTTGCTTGATAAATTTTCCTCCCTCTCTTTATCTTGAGCCTATGTGTGTCTTTGCACATGAGATGAGTCTCTTCAATACAGCACCTTTCTGTTTGTTAGTTTTCCTTCTAACAGACAGGACCCTCAGCTGCAGGTCTGTTGGAGTTCTAGAGGTCCACTCCAGACCCTGTTTGCCTGGGTATCAGCAGTGGTGTCTGCAGAACCGCAGATTTTCGTGATCCGCGAATGCTGCTGTCTGATCGTTCTTCTGGAAGTTTTGTCTCAGAGGAGTACCTGGCCGTGTGAGGTGTCAGTCTGCCCCTACTGGGGGTGCCTCCCAGTTAGGCTGCTTGGGGGTCAGGGGTCAGGGACCCACTTGAGGAGGCAGTCTGCCCGTTCTCAGATCTCCAGTTGCATGCTGGGAGAACCACTGCTCTCCTCAAAGCTGTCAGACAGGGACATTTAAGTCTGCAGAGGTTACTGCTGTCTTTTTCTTTGTCTGTGCCCTGCCCCCAGAGGTGGAGCCTACAGAGGCAGGCAGGCCTCCTTGAGCTGTGGTGGGCTCCAGCCAGTTCAAGCTTCCTGGCTGCTTTGTTTACCTAAGCGAGCCTGGGCAATGGCGGGCGCCCCTCCCCCAGCCTCGCTGCCACCTTGCAGTTTGATCTCAGACTGCTGCGCTAGCAATCAGCGAGATTCTGTGGGCGTAGGACCCTCTGAGCCAGGTGCGGGATATAATCTCCTAGTGCGCCATTTCCTAAGCCCGTCGGAAAAGCGCAGTATTCGGCTGAGAGTGGCCTGATTTTCCAGGTGCCGTCTGTCACCCCTTTCCTTGACCAGGAAAGGGAACTCCCTGACCCCTTGTGCTTCCCGAGTGAGGCAATGCCTCGCCCTGCTTCGGCTGGCACATGGTGCACTGCACCCACTGTCCTGCACCCACTGTCTGGCACTCCCTAGTGAGTGAACCCGGTACCTCAGATGGAAATGCAGAAATCACCCGTCTTCTGCGTCGCTCATGCTGGGAACTGTAGACAGGAGCTGTTCCTATTCGGCCATCTTGGCTCCTCCTGGTTCTTGACTCTTTATCCAATTTGCCAGTCTGTGTCTTTTAATTGGGGCATTTACCCCAGCAATGTAAAGTGTTGAATAAATATTTTTGTTTGTATGCAGTCTTCAAAAATATGTATGGTTGTTTTGTGGACACATAAGTCATACCCGTATGAAGATATAGAACATTTCTATCACCCTAGAAAGTTAAATCATGCCCATATCACGTCAATCCCACCCCCGCCCACAAATCAATTACTGTTCTGCTTTCCATTATTTGCCTGTTGTAGAACTTTATAGAATCAAATCATGCATTATATATTTTTTTGCTTCTTGTTTCTTCCAGTCAGTATAATATCTGTGATATTCCTCTGTGTTGTGTTTGTATTAGTAGTTCCTCCTTTTAATCTGTGAATTCTATTCCACTTTAAGACTGGATTTTACTTTATCATCATTTCCATTTTATCCAGTTTGCATATTCCTTTTCTTGCTGATGCACCTGAGCTGTTTCCAGGTTTTGAATATGATGAACACATCTACCATGTAAATTGTTACACAAGGCTTTTTGCATCAACATGATTTCATTTCTTTTAGATAAGTACCTAGAAGTGGGAATTCCTGGGTCATAGGGTAGGTGTATATTCAGTGTTATAAACAATCACAAAACCTTTAGGTTTTGTGATATTTTGTGTCTCTAATAAGAAAGGATGAGAATTACCCTTCCTCAACATTTTTCCCAACACACGGCATTATCAGTCCTTTTAATTTTAGATACTTAAAACAGTGTGAAATGGTATCTCATTGTTTCAATTTAACTTCAGAACCTATGAAAAGTTTTACATTCAGTTTTAATGTAGGTGTCTGCTAATTCTAACAACTATACAAATTCTGAGTCAATTGATTAGTCTCCTCATATTGGTCTTGTTTTCTGGTTTCATTTTTCATGCCTAGTCATCACTGAATGGATATAAGACATCATGAATTTTACCTTGATAGTTACTGGATTTCAAAAATTCTTATAAATATTCTTGAGGGTTTTTTCTGAAATTCATTTTAAATTACTGAGAAACTGTCTGATACTCTTGGGTGTTGCTTTTACGATTTTTAGTGGGTCTGGAGTGGTGCTCAGTGTAGGGTTAATTATTACTCACCACTGACACAAGATACTCTGCATAGACTACCCAATGCCCTATGAATTATGAGCTATTAGGTCTAACTGTTGTGAATAGGCATTATTCCCACCCCTGTGTGAGTACCGGGCACTGACCCTTTTAGTTGTTTCAGAATTTTTTTTTTTTTTTTACCAGGCTGAGGCTCTTTTCTCTAATGTATGCACTGATAATATTCAGATGAATCCTTGAAGTTACTCTCCACAGATATTTGGGGTTCTTTCTGTGGGCAACTCCCTTTTTGCTAGAGTTTGGACTTTTTCTTAGTGACCAGAGAATAGCAATGAACCATCATTTTATAACTGAAACAAAAACCATAACCCCCAAGTCTACCTATCCATGATCTGTAGTTCTCTTCCTTTTTTGATTGCTATTTCTTCCCCAGTGACTCTTATACTGTTTGTAGGCCTAGACGTTTTGTTTGTGCATTTTTTTGTCTTTTGCTATTTTAATCCCAGGTTATGAGAGCCAGCTGGGTGTGGTGGCTCACACCTATAATCCCAGCCCTTTGGAAGGCTAAGATGAGGAGATTGCCTGAGACCAGCAGTTTGAGACTGGCCTGGGCAATATAGAGAGACCTGGTTTCTACAAAAATAAAAAGTAATAATTAGTGGGTATGGTGGCATGCATCTGTAGTCCCAACTACTTCAGAGGCTAAGGTAGGAGGATCACTTAAGCCCAGGAGTTTGAGGCTACAGTGAGCTATGATTTTGCCACTTAATTTCAACCTAGGCTACGAGGTAAGACCTATCTCTAAAAAAAGAGAGCTTGTCACCTTCCTCTCTCTCACTTTGGGACACTTACAAGGGTGAATATAAGGAAAGGGAGGTGTTAACACATACTAATTCATCATCATGTCATAAATCAAAAGTCTGGCAAGCTGGTTTCAATGACAAAAATACATTCACACCTACTAGTCTACATTGTCATTGGATAAAATCCTTATCGCTCATAAAACACTAATCAACCCCAGCTACATATGTGAAATATAGCTTTGATCCTAATTCTTTTTCATTTTTTTCTAATTTTCTGCTTAACAGAAGTTCAATAACTAAAGGTGCCACTATTTCTAAACAAAATATTCATTATAGTCTAAGATATGTTCAGACTTTTGAGAATTCTGACTGCCATATTGAGAGAAAATATCCTTTTAATGTGCTATTAGAAAAGTTTATTTTCTACAATATACACTAAATAAAAGTATAAGGAATTTATATTTTATAGATATGACGAAGTATTATTTTCCTTACCTTAAAGCCATCTCTTAATTGTAGGATTAGTTCAAATTAGAACATCTATTTAATGGCAGAAAACAGTCTTAAAACTAGGGATCTTGAAAATACTTCTCCAAATCTCTATTTCAAATTCCTATGAAAAGTTGTTTTATGTATCTTCCAAAGTATATTTGTTTTATTTTTTCTAAGAAGTAGGATATATTTTAAAGTTTTCATAACCACCTAGATTTATTTAGTAACTTTTCTCTAAGAAATTAAAGTGGGCTTACTCTTGTAGATTTAACTCAAAAAAAAGTTCTAATAAATAGATGCAATGAGATATATTCTATTTTATTTTTATTTTATGTATTATTTAGAGTTTTGAACTTTTCATCCAGCAACATTCTGCCTGGCTGCCTCTTTGACTGTAAATCAGATCCCCTCAGATAGAGCATTGCTCCAATGAGGACTTGAGAGTGCTCATAGGTACATTACTTACTGAATTGCACTCCAGCGTCCTGACAGAACAAAGCACTGGCAAGTGTAACATAAATTTCCACAAAGAAATAACTTCAGCAATAAACTCTATTTAGGGATAAGAAAGAGGAGAATAACAGGGCAAACTACATAAACGTCATCACAACACAGCACATTAGATGACATTTTTACAGTGACATATAAAAATTACCTTGTAGAATCTTGATAGGAACTTACAGCCAAACTTTCTTACAGGAACATAAAGCCTTCTTGATATCATGAAAATCTGTTGCAGTTCTTCTCAGGAAAGTGGCTTTTCAGGAACATTGTAATTCTGTTTTAATATGGATGTAAGTGCTTTCAATTAATATTCACTATACCGAATAAGCAGGTCTAAACAATGTAATGAAATTAATTAATAAGTGATGAATTAAACCACTGATTAAACTTATTTGAAGACCAATTTTACTAAGTACATATAACGTTCTGACTTACATGATTGAACATATAGATTTAATAGGATAAAAATAAAATGCAATTTACTATCTCTACGTATGAAAAATAAATATATAACACAAATTTTGTTAGCTGAAACAAAGGAAAAATAATTCTTTTATAAAATAATCCTCCTGAATGAGAAACATATATACATAAACTGGGAAAAATTAAATATATATGAATACATCATTAAGCTGTAGAGACAGTGAAGAAACCACAGAGGGCTAAAATAACATGTAAACAGAAGCTGAGAAGCAAATGAAATGTGTGAAATTCAGCTTTTATTCTGAAAATTTCTGCCAAATTTTGGGAGACTAAAGTTTCCCGTTCCCCTAGGACTGTATGGGCTAGAAAGAACAGAAGTTTTTAATGTGACATGGGTAGTTTAATAAAATATGCCTGATAAATCTGGTACCCCAAAGTGCCCTATGATAAGCCAAAGAATGAATGAAAAATGAACCCATTATAAAGAAGGGACAGCAAAAATATTTATCCATTTTAAACTTGTAACTGGATGAAAGAAAAGAAAATCTCCCATGATATTTTGTAACCATGAACTGAGTGTCACATGGATTTTTGCTTGAATTTATGCTTACCCACATGTTCAGGAGTAAAACTTGGAGCAGAAATTTTAATTTAAAGTATGGTAAGGTTTGCAGTGCTCCCTGATGACTGATAGAAGAAAGTAAAATCATCTCTAGGGATGTGCAACATCAATTCATTAAACAAAAACTTTCCAAATATAAAGTTCCAAGGGAAATGAGCAGTTCAGAGTCAAAAATCATAAAAGAAACCACATAAGTTACAGATGACCCTCAAAGAATGTAAATATCAGAATTATCAGACGATTTTAAATATCTGAAGAAAAGAAAAAAACTGGGAACAAGAGCCTATAGAAAACAAGTAAGATTTGGGAGAGAACACTGCATTTTTATAAATAAAGAAGACTTCAAATTTAACATTTAAAACAAAGATTGAACAATAAAAAATAGCTTAGCTAATGAACTAGTAGACAGCTTATTCTCAAAAGCTATGTGGTAGTAATATGTTTTAAAAACTAGAATTGACATTTTAAGGACAAACTTCCAATTTACAGTCTGGTAGGTAGAGAGCTTAGAAGTTGTCACTCATTCCTACCAACAAGTAAAAAGCTGAACCAACTGGCGCGGTGGCTCATGCCTGTAATCCCAGCACTTTGGGAGGCCGAGGCGGGCGGATCACAAGTTCAGGAGATTGATACCATCCTGGCTAACACGGTGAAACCCCATCTCTACTAAAAATACAAAAAAATTAGCCGGGCGTTGTGGCGGGCGCCTGTAGTCCCAGCTACTCGGGAGGCTGAGGAAGGAGAATGGCGTGAACCCGGGAGGTGGAGCTTGCAGTAAGCCGAGATGTTGCCACTGCACTCCAGCCTGGGCGACAGAGCGAGACTCCGTCTTTAAAAAAAAAAAAAAAAAAAAAAAAAAAGCTGAACCAACTGAAAAATCAACGACTCTTCTTAGATCTGTCAGAGAAGTAATGTCACAGGGAAAATCACTGGCCTCCAAATTGGAGAGACAGATGAATACAGAGAATCACAACTTACCAGAGCAAAGACCCACAAGCTGAAACCTCCATGGGGACCAGTGCTGGGTAAGAAAACCTGAGCTGTAATTAATAAATTACTAGAGGCTCAGTATAGATTATTTTGAGAGTCAAAAAGTCCAGGGAAACCCAGTTAAAGGAGTACCCCTACACTTTTGTGAGCTTTAGCTCCTAGAGCTAAACCAGGTTTTGACAGTGAAAGAGGAGAAGAGAAATGAAAAAGAAAGAAGAGAATTTAAAAATTCCTTCATGCTCCTTGCAAGGGGAAGAAAAAAGTAATCATTTTGAAATTTACCAAAGTATTCTGCTATTGATAAGGCCTGCCCCTAGAAAAAACTGTTTTCCCAGAGCCTAGACTACTGTTTTGTTTGGGGGCCTAACTAAACTGGGGGAAAGGGAATACCCAACTCTAGCCTTCTCTAGCTTTCCACATAGAAGAAGAAAAATACCCAACTCCAGTCCAATCTAGCTATTCTGTCCCACCTGGGGCCAGGGATGGGGGGAATCCATGGGAGAAGTGAGAAGCACATGTGAGGTTAACAGTCCAGAGGCATAAGCTCATTAAAACACTGAGACCTAATCAGGCAACTGTAGGACACTTTCCCTCCTCTGACATCTTATCACCTCATTCCTAAAGGCCTATTTATCCTGTTACCCAATACATCATGTCCAGCTATCAGGAAAAAATTACAAGGCATACTAAAAGTCGCAAATATAGTTTGAAGAGCTAGAACAAGCATAAGAACCAAACTCATATGGCAGAGATGATGGAACTATCAGATGAGAAATTTCAAACAACTATGATTATTGTGCTAAGGGCTCTATTGGATAAAGGAGATAACACATCATAACAGATGAACAATGTCAGCAGAAGTTCTAAGAAAGAATAAAAAAGAAATGCTAGAGATCAAAAACACACTAATAGAAATGAAGAATGCCTTTGATAGGATTACTATTAGACTGAACACAGCTGAGGAAAGAATTTCTGAACTTGAGAATACTCAACGAAAATTTCAAACACTAAATAGCAAAGAGAAAAAAGGCTGAAAAAAGAACCCAAACAGTATTTAAGAACTGTGGAAGAACTACAAAAAGTGTAACATATGCAAACTAAGATGAAAGAGAAGAAAGCAAGGGAGAGAAAAGAAGAAATACTTGAAGCAATAATGGATGAAAATTCCCCCAAATTAAAGTCAGACACCAAAGCACAGATGCAAGAAGCTCAGAGAACACCAAACAGGATAAATGGAAAAATAAAAAAACCCTAGCCATATTATACTTAAACTCAGAATATCAAAGACAAAAGACCTTGAAAGAAACCAGAGAAAACAAAACATCTTATTAAATAGGAGCAAAAATAAGAATCATATCCAATTACTTCTCAGAAACCATGCAAGCAAAAAGAGAATAAAGTAAAATATTTAATGTGTTAAGAGAAAAAAAATCCCAGCAACCTAGAATTCTTTGTCCTAAGAAATTACCCTTCAAAAGTGAAAGAGAAATAAACACTTCTTCAGACAATAAAATTTGAGGAAATTTGTAACCAATTTATTTGTATACATAAAATAAATGACAGCAATAATAAAATAATGAGGGTTATTTTATTACTATAAAGTACTCACAGTACTAAAGCAGCATTAAAGAGTGGATTTTAATGAATTGTAAATCTATATTGCTAACTCTAGGGCAACCACTTAAAAATAGGAAAAAAAATATAACTGTTATGCTAAGAAAGGAGATAAAATGGTATTAAATAAAATGCTCAATTAAAAGCATCAAGGGAAGAAAAAGTAGAATTCAAAACTGTGAATAAAGGACAAGGGTAACAAATAGAAAACATTAGCGAATACAGTAGATGTTATTCCAAGTATGTCAATAATCACTTTAAACATCAACGGTCTAAATATACCAATTAAAAGACAGAGATTGTCTGAGTGAATAAAAAAACAAGACCTAACCATATGCTGTTTACAAGAAGCACACTTTAAATATAAAGACACATATATATTAAAAGTAACGGATTGAGAAAGATATATCATGCTAACATATCAAAAGAAATGAGGATCCAGACAATGGAATCTTATTCGGCACTAAAATTTGAGTAAGGTATTGAGCGATGAAAAGACTACTCAGGGAGGAACCATAATGCACATTACAAAGGGAAAGAAGCCAATCTGAAAAGACTGCGTACTGTATGATTCCAACTAAACGACAGTCTGGAAAAGTTAAAACTTATAGAGACAGTGAAATGATCAGTGTTTGCCAGTGGTTGGGGAAGGAAGAAGAATAGGTGGAGCACAGAGGATTTTCAGGGTGGTGAAACTACTCTCTATAGTACTAATGCTATATATATGTCATTATCAACTTATCAAAACCCATAGAATGTTTAACACCAAAAGTCATATAAACCATGGACTTTGATAATGATGTCAATATAGATTCACTGACTGTAACAAAAGTACCACTCTGGGGCAGGATTTTCATGATAGGGGAGGTTGTGTACAAGTGGGTGCAGGGGATATATAGGAAATTCATGTATCTTCCACTCAGTTTTGCTGTGAACCTCAAACTGATGTAAAAAATAAAGTCTATTTAAAAAGTTAAAGGAAAAAGTTTTACTTCCAGACACAAAGGTGTAACTGAATCAGACCAGCTATTCCCCCATAGTCAAAATAACTGATTGTCATGTTCTCCCTCCCTCTCTGTCCTTCTATATTACTTTCTGCACAGGGATAGTGTTAGTGCCTTCTGGGATGGGAGAAAGGTCCTTCGAAAGCTCAGAAGATTCAAAGAAGTCTGAGGAATCAAACTGGAGGAGGGATAAATTCACCCAGATAACACTATCCTTGGGGTATGGTGCCAGGTTCTCCAGCTAGGGCCCTGACTTTGACATCTCACAACTACATCTGTGCATTGAACTGTGTTGAAAGTTCACCTGCTCTGACTCTTAGACAAGGGTTTGGTCTTCAGCTCTTTCTGCTAATCTACTGCATGAGATAAGGGCTTCTTTGTAAGCTGCCAAAGCACTCTGGCTCTCATGCTTAGTTTTCAATGACTTGCTAATTGAGCATGGCTTGCATTGTCAAACCACTCCTCATGCCAACTATGCTAGTCAGGTTCTCCAGCAATCAGACATTGAGATAACATTAGATTTACAGAAGTTGCACTGACAAGTAACGTCTTAGAAAAAAACCAAACACCGCATGTTGTCACTCACAGATGGAAACTGAACAATGAGAACACAGGGACACAGGAAGGGGAACATCACACACCGGGGCCTGTTGTGGGGTGAAGGGAGGGGGAATGGATAGCATTAGGAGATATACCTAATGTTGAATGACGAGTTAATGGATGCAGCACACCAACATAGCACATGTATACATATGTAACAAACCTGCACGTTGTGCACATGTACCCTAAAACTTAAAGTATAATAAAAAAAATAGATAAAAGAAAGGAAAGGAGAAAGGCTTACGGAGAAGAACTCATCAGACGGTGATATAAGATCTCGCAAAATATTGGCCAACCCCATGGGAAGCTCTGGAACAAAGATTTGCTTTTAGAAGAGCCTCATATTGGGTTAAGCCATTGGCAAGAAGAAAGTAACCTCAACTCAAAACCTGAGGTAGACCCTAATGGAGCTAGCAGCTAGAGGCTGACAGCTAACCACACTCCTTGCTATGGGTAGAACCATTTCTTTACAAAGGATCTAAGATATTCTTTTTCATCTGACACAAACACTATCAAATAAGTAGACATAATGGACATTTGGACATAATGGACATATGGACATCTACAAATGGAATGAATATCTACAGATGGAATTCCATGTATTCTAAAGATACATGGAATATTTACTAAGATAGTCCACCTGCTGAGGCATAAAAGATGTCAAATTCAGAAGGACTGAAATTATATAGAATAATATTCCTGAACAAAAATGGAGTTAAACTGTGAAGTAACAGTAAAAAAAATCTTAAACTTGTAAAACTCAGATTATGGTAATTAGCATATCCATCATCTAAAATATTCATTATTTCTTTGGGAACAAATTTAAGGCATGGAGGCATTATCCTAAGCAAATTAAGACAGAAACAGAAAAGCAAATATCGCATGTTCTCACTTATTGTAAGTAGAAGCTAAAAATTGGGTACTCATGGGCATAAAGATGGCAACGATAAATACTGGGGACTACTAGAGGGAGACAAAGTGCGGGGACAAAGGTTAAAAAAATAATTCTTGGCCGGGTACAGTGGCTCATGCCTGTAATTCCAGCACTTTAGGAGGCTGAAGCGGGCGGATCACCTGAGGTCAGGAATTCGAGACCAGCCTGGCCAACATGGTGAAACCCCGTCTCTTCTAAAATTACAAAAATTTGCCAGGCATGGTAGCAAGCACCTGTAATCGCAGCTACTCGGGAGGCTGAGGCGGGATAGGATAATTGCTTGACCCCAGGAGGCGGAGATTGCAGTGAGCCGAGATCACACCACTGCACTCCAGCCTGTGCGACAGAGCGTGCCTCTGTCTCAAAAAAGAAAACAAAAACAAACAAACAAACAAAAACGCCACCTAATTCTTGGGTACTATGCTCAGCACCTGGACGACGCAATCAACTGTGCTCCAAACCTCAGCATCACACCATATACTTACATAATAAATACTTCCAAGCAACTGCTGATTCTAAAATAAAACTTAAAATTTATTTTTAAGAATAATATGATAAAAATAAAATAAAACATGAATGTAAAAAGGCAGTTTATCATTTAAGAGGTAATCTAGCTTAATTTTTTATGAAAGTGTCTCTCTAGCCTGTTATTAAGCACATACAGGATTGAGGAATTTATTCTCTAAAGTAGCCTGATTCATTTTAAGATGTTCTTTAATGGTTGGAAATTATTTTATGTTAAAGTTAAATTTTCCCTCCCATTATTTCCACTTTTCATCCTAGTTCTCTCCTCCAGAACCTCTCAAAATCAATCCAAACCTTACTACACATGAGTCCTTAAAAATAATCAAAAACAGTTATCAAATTTCTGATTCTTTCCTTCTGCAGATGAAACATTCTCAGCTCCTTCAGGTACCTTCTCATGTGATTTACAATGACCCAGAAATATTCTCATTCCTTGCCCTTCAACATTCTTCAATTTGATTAAAAGACCTCCAAAGGTGAGCTTTCCAGAAGAGAACACAATATCTTAGGTGAGGTCTTCCCCGTGTGAAATACAGAAGCCACATCCCACTCTCACAAAAATAAAATAAAATAAATTTAAAAGGCATGAAGGGCAGGCAGGAGTTAGCTTGGATAATTTCTTTGGTAGACATACGATTGATTACTTCTAATTATAATCTCCTTCTTGGGACTCATCAGGCCCTAAAACTGGCTAAATAGTTTTATGCCTCATGGCCTTTGCACAAGCTGTCCTGGTGAAACTAATATTTGTACTAAAAATACAAAAATTAGCCGGATGTGGTGGTGGGCACCTGTAATCCTAGCCTCTTGGGAGGCTGAGGCAGGAGAATTGCTTGAACCCGGGAGGCGGAGGTTGCAGTGAGCCGAGATTGCGCCACTGCACTCCAGCCTGGGTGACAGAGCAAGACTCTGTCTCAGAAAAAAAAAAAAAAAAGAAAGAAAGAAAGAAAGATCTTACCATACTCTTCATATTCACCATCCCAAAAAGGCTGTTCCTTATCACTTTTTCCAGGGCAACCTTTTCACCATTATTCTCTGACCGAGTCTAATGTTTATTTTCTTCAGAAAAGTTACCAAAGATGCAATTATTAATTTGCTTGTTATCTTGTCTTTGTCTCTCCCACTAGAATATAAAGTAAAAGTTTGGTAAACAAACAAACAAAAAATTAAAAACTGCATCTGTTCATTTCATTAATATCCTGCCAGCCTTTCGCACAGTGCATGCATAGTGTACAATTAACACCCAAAAATACTTGGTAAGTTAATAAATTAAAAAATGAAATGGTGACCAACAGGTTTTTGGTTTTGCGACTGGATACATAAGCCAAGACTAACATTACAAAAGGACAAGTATGTTGTGGGGGGAAAAAGAGAATCATGAAGGAGTCTAAGTTTTTTGGGGTCTGTCTAATGTCTAGATTAGAAATAAGGATCTGGATCTAGAAGCCACACCTAAAAAATAAATTTATATAGCACGGTCACCAATCTATTTGACATAGTTAAAGTTGTAGGATTAGATGAGGAAATAATCAGATGTTATAATAAAGAAATAAGAAACTAAGGGACACAGAATGAGAAATTAATGTCTAAGGAAATTAAAAGCAATCCGAGAGGTAGAAGTGGAACTACAGCCCAATAATTCCATTGTTTCAAGAAGACAGAAGTGACAGATACCGTCAGATGGCAATAGAAGAGACCTGAAAAATGTTTATGGGTTTTGAAATTTAGCAGTTATTAGTAACTTTTGAGAGAGAGCAGTTTAATGGTATTTTCGGAGCAGAAGCCCGAGAGTCATGCAGTAAACAGGTCAGAAAATAAAAGGGTAAATAAGAGCACTCTGTCAAGATGATTGATTGAATTGCATATAAGAAAATCAAGGTAGCAAGCAGAGAAGTACCCAAGGACAAAGAAGGTGTTTTTTTTTTTTTAGTTTGTTTTTAGATGCAATAGATTTGTACATATTTATCACCTAAGGGAAAGAGCCACTGGAAAGGAAAGCATTAAAAATATAAAGAAAATGGGGACATTTGAAGAATGACTTATGTGTGATCACAGGAAGACAGCGGAATGAGTATTCATGAGTATAGGCATTAGATATTAGGTAGGAGGCACCTGTACCTCCTGCTTGTGGGGAACTCTCATTGGTGCACAGAAGTTAAAAGAATGATAAATGTTTAAAGGCATTTATATCACAAAGATACAAAGACAGAGTAGACAAGTAAACTTATTCCTCAAAAGCACGGAGGCCCCCTTGGAGTTGGAGATCATTTACTTGTAGTGGCACAAAGTGGCACCAAAAAAATGCATGCCTATGTTATGTTCTCCATCACTGTTCCACTCACTTGGTAAAAGATAGTACAAAAAGATAAAAGGATTGACCTTGGGCTGGAAGTCTGTAAGGCAGATGGAGAAGAATAATTTGAGGGAGGAGGATTAAAGGATACTGCCTTTATAAAGATGGAAAGAGGCCTAGCAGTGTAATTTGACAGGATATGTGAAAAATAACAAATTAAAGGAGAGACCACAAAGCAAGTGGATTGCAGAGAGGGATAAAGGTCCATCTGAGATTTGTGAATAAGGAGATGTCTAATCTATGTCCAAATCAAATACATAGTTGGATACTTGAGTCTGACATAAAGGAAGAAATACGGACTGGGGTTATAAGTTTGGTATTCATCAGCATCAAATAGTACTTAAATAGGTGAGAATGATATGATCACCTAGGGAGTAAACAAAGATAGAGGAGAAAGGAGAACCAAAGACTGAGCCCTGGGGCTCTGGAGCACCAAGACGTTGTAGAGATGAGAGAAGAAGGTTTAGAAGGAGTACAGCAGACAGAATTCTTAAATTCCTGTCTCCTGGTGTACAAACCCCAAATAATCCCCTCCCCTTGACTGTAGGTGGGACTTAATAACATAATTAGATCTTACTCCCATGAATAGGTTATATCTTATGGGAAAGATGTAATTAAGGTCCCTAATCAGTAGATTTAAATTACTAAAAAAGGAACTTATTCTGTATGGGCATGACCTAATCCAGCAAGGTATTTTATTATTTTATTCTGTTTTATTTTACTGAGAAAGGGTCTTGCTCTATCACTCAGGCTGGAGTACAGTAGCATGTTCACTGCTCACTGCAGCCTTGACCTCCTGGGCTCAGGTGATCCTCCCACCTCAGCCCCCTGAGGAGCTGGGACTATGGATGCACGTCAACATGCCTGCTTAATTTTTTATAATTTTTTCACAGAGACAAGAGTTTCACCATGTTACCTAGGCTGCTTTCAAACTCCTGGACTCAAGTGATCCACCCGCCTCAGCTTCCCAAAGTGCTGGGATTACAGGTGAGCCACTGTACCCCACTAAAATGTAAAATATTCTCTTCCTGGGCTTGAAGAATCCAACAGCCATGTTTTGAGAGGTTTTTGAGAGGGCCATGTAGCAAGGACCTGAAAACAGCCTTAGGAGTGGGAGTGACCCCGATCTAATAGCCAGCAAAACAACAGAGGCCTCAGTCTTAAAGCTGCAAGAAATGAGTTCTGACAATAATATGAAAGAACTCAAAGTGAATTCTTTTCCAGACAAACCTCTAGATGAGAAAATACCCCCGCCAACACTTTGATTTTACCCTTGTGAGACCCTGAGCCAGATTTTTGGCCAGCAGAAACTGTAAGATAACAAATGAGTATTATTTTAAGCCACAAAATTTGCGGCAACTTATGACACAGCAATGGGAAAACAACACTGAGAGTAATCATAGAAAATTACGAGTGCTGTTCTGGAAGCCAAATGATTAAAGAGGGAAGAATAATTAACTGTTGTCAAATGCTACTGACAAATGCAGTACAATGAGACCTGCGTATTAATTGTTGAATTTACTAAAGAGAAAAATTGTGGAATTATAGGGTAATTCAAGAGGAGATTTGCAGAAGTATAGAGGTGAAGCTCAAAGGAGACAAAAAAGTGGAGGGTTACCTAAGTTAGTAAATGAATAAAATTAAAATTTTCCAAGCATGTTCATTCTTCTGGAGTGTGGCATTTCTGACCAAATGTAAATTTAATACTTTGGGTTGCCTTCTTGTCTTCAGAAGAATAACCTCATCTTTCAGCGCATCTAAATGATGAATAATTAAAAGGATCCTCTTGCCCTTGCAGCATTTCCAAAACAAGATGAAAATTGAGAGGCATCTGAACAACAAAATTTCCACAAAAATAATGTTTTCAATATAGTTCATACTTTGTGTGTTTTATAAATTCTCCCCAACACACACGCATACATACACACACACACATAACTGTAAATTCTCCTACTTTTACAACTCTAATTATTCTGTACAGGTAGTACAGAAAAGCAACTTGAAGATGAAGTGCAGAAAACTATCTTCAGATTAAGGAGTAATGTATTATTTCTATAGGCTATATTCAATTAACAGAACATTTAGCATAAGCAATTTTCAAACACATACACACACACACACACCCCCCAACACAAACATAAGGTAAAATACATTTATTGCAAAGACATACAATCAACTACAACAGTGTAGTTAAAGGAATGCGTCTTTCTGTAGTTACTAACCCAGCTGAAGCAAATGCATTTTTTCCTAAAGTAACAATCATTTATTGTTAAATAACTATTGTTTATGTTTATCGAAAAACAATGCAGTGTAAAGCTAATATCTCTGTTCCTATTTCTTAGTTTATTTCTTTTGAAGATTGGTAAGGTGTAGAGATATTGATTTTATTCTCTAATAATCATTCCTTAAACTGTATTTCTGAATGCCATTACAACCCCAGGAAAAGAGAGCAAGAACAAGTTTAGTGCTCTGTTTGCCCATTTGTGTAGCACAAGTGGTACCAATTTCTAATAATGTGCCTACATTTATGGAGCAGCCGTTTGAGTTTTCAGCCTTGCTGGAATCGTGTTTTAGTTATAAAAAGGCCATACCGATGAGTTTTAGAGTGGATATGCGTTCATGTGAATCTACCCTAGAAGAGGAAGCACTGTGTATCCACAGGAGTCTAGTGTTGAATCTAAAAAGAGAAGCAAATGGTATCTCAATTCTGAGAACTGTTTCTCACATCAAATTGCATTCACTTGAACATAGTGAAAGTTGTTTTGGTGCATCTATTCCCGTGATTCAGTAAGGCACATGCTTTATCTTCTCATCATAAAAGGTGTAAACACTCTTATATGAGTTTCCTGGTTACTGAAAGAAGACACCAGTGAAGAGGTATTTATGCTAAAGTGAATATCCTCATTAACTTAGTCACTGATCTACTATTGTAAGAGGAAGTCTATGCTAGTTGTACAATAAATACATTATGATGGAACTTATATAAAATAAACTCTTGCCTTTTATTCATTTTTTGAATGATTGTTACCTCACCTTGGGAGAACAAAATACACTCTTTGTGTTGCTGTTGGCTGGTACAGAAAGTATTGGCATGAGTTAATCTACCATTGTTGTGGGTAGAAAAAAATACTCTTTTTCTCTGCTTGAATCCTAAGACTAGTTACAAGTTTTCACAACAAATAAGATGATATAAGAATAGTACTTGGCTTTTTATACAGTAAATTACACCAGTGACATGTAAAAGGTGTAGAGAAAAAAATATTCTCTGACACTGAAGAAATATTTATAGATTTATAGGCACTTGTATTAGTCAGAGTTCTACCAGATATAGACAGAGATGAGACAGAGATAGAGATAAAGATAGATAGAGATGATAGAGATAAACAGAGATAGATGGAAAGAAGGAGGAAGACAGAAAGGGAGAGGGAGGGAGAGAGAAAAAAAGAGAGAGATTTCAAGGAATTGGCTTCCACAACTGTACGGGTGGCAAGTGCTAAATCTTTAGGGCAGGTTGACAAATTGGACAGTCTCCCGCAGGAGGTGACACTGTAATCTACACTCAGAGTTTCTTCTTCCTCAGAGAAGCCTTGGTTTTGCTCTTAAGGCCATTCAACTGATTGGATGACGCCAACCCAGATTATCAAGGACAATCTCCTTTACTAAAAGTCAACTGATTACAGATGTTAACCACATTTACAAAACACTTTAGTTAGTGTTTAATTGAAAAACTGGGTACTATAGCTTAGCCATGATGATGAATAAATCTGACCATCATAACATCCATGACTTAAAAGGCACTGGGCTAGCATAAAGAAGTCTAGATTGAGTAAGCCCTCCTGGGGCTTAGAAGCTGATAGAGAGAATCATGTTTGGAACATGACATAACAAAATTTGTTATAAAAACAGAGAGGAGTCTGGAAATCAGGCTGCATATGTAATACACATTATAAAGATATCATATGCCTAGTACAAAAATAACACAAACAGGAAAAGTTCTGAATGGAACCTACTACATACTAAATTACCACATGATATAAGAAGCATCATCAATCAACCCAAAAATTGTCGATTATTGAAGAAATTGGGCTGGGAAAATTGAGTACTAGGGAAAAAAATTGAGTTTGACACTGCTATCAAAAATTGGTTTGAATAGTTGAGAAAAGTTAAATGTGGAAATTCTGATAAAATGGCAATGTAGGAAAAGCATGTGACACTCATGACCAAACCCCCACTATAACTCCAACTCCCCCCGACCACCACCAATGCTTGAGGAAAACAAGTGAATATAAAAATAAGTAAAACCTTATATCAGCACTGAAAACTAGCAAACTTGTGATGCACTTTTACCAGTTTTGAAGAATTGTTGCTATATAAAGCACATGCGGGATCGAAATAAAAGAAAGAATAAGTTCAAGACAGCTCACTAGTAAATGCTCAGTGCTCATTCCACGATCAGAAAACCTTAACAGAAGATTTCAAGACCTTCTACCTCAGAAAGTTAGGAGCAACACTGAAACAACCATACTGTTATTTAAGGCTTTCACCTTCCCTGGGTGCCTACAGGAAAGCAGTTCAGACAAAATATATCTTATCATGTAAAGTAAGATAAGATAAACGAATAAGAAAACTGATAAATTAGATATAAAGGATATGTTAGAAAGTATAAACAAGTATTTTATAAAACTGTAAGCTAAGTGGCTCACACCTGTAATTCTAGCACTTTGGGAGACAGAGGTGGGAGGATTGCTGGAGTCCAGGAGTTTGAGACCAGCCTGGGCCACACGGTGAGACACCATCTCTACAAAATTAGAAAATTAGCCAGGAGCGGTGGCATGCACGTGTATTCCCAGCTGCTCTGGAGGCTGAGGTGGGAGGATCACTTGACCCAAGGAGTTCAGAGTTGCAATGAGCTATGATCTCTTCTCAGGAGACCACCAAGAAATACATGAATTATTGGGGTAAAAGGACTATTTCAGGGAAATCCAGAAAACTAATGAGTTTTGCTTTTTAATTAAATTGGTTTGATGAATGGGCTCTGTGTTCAGAAACAGGAGCTCAGCAGGAGAGGCCATGAAGCAGTGAAGTGCTAGGAATGGGAACATACCTTGCTTGGGAGGCCAAAGGGGCACACACCAAATCAGTGAAGATAGGAACAAAATACACCTGGGTCCCCAAAGGGCAAGAGGAACTTTGATGATATATGAGTTCCACACATTTAATATATGATGTGCCCACCCAAATTAAGGAAAAGTAAAGAAATGGATGAATTAATCAAAAATGTTTGCTTGGGATGAGTGGTTAACAAATCAGTTCATAATAATGATAATATTAAAACTGTTAGAACCCGAAACAATTTACATAATAACTTCCATAATCATTGAGAATTTTATAAGAAAGCACAAACAACCTAGATGAGAGTACAGGGGAATATTTATGTAACCTTAGCCCTTCATTAAACAAAGGCATATCAGAAATTCTTCACAGATTTGATCAAAAAAATTATTAAAATCATAAGCTCAATCAAAAGGTAACAGGGAAAATTTATGGACTGATTTCTTCTGGCATTATTTTTAATTTAATTATTGATATCAAGCATTATTTGTATAGCAAGAATATTAACTGTTTTCTGTAAAAACTGTAGCAATGAACATAAACAGTTAATTCCCAAGAAAACAGCCATAAAATAAACATAACTTTTGATCCAGTGACTACAGTTATAATGTAAGAAATGATGAAGGATATAAACAAGGGGGTTGGCTGCAAAGATTTACAGTGCACCACTGTTTTCTCCTCCATTGGATACACTGCCCACTGTTCCCATGATGTAGGCACACTGAAAGCTCAGACTTCACTACTATCCAAAGTATCCCTGTAACCATAAACCACTTGTACCTCGAAAGCTATTGAAATCCAAATAAACTTTTAAAAAACATTGTTTTCAATGGCAAAATGTTATAAACAAATTAAATTATCTACTAAGACAGAAATAAGTGAATTATGGTCATAGAAAACTCAATAATCAAATTCTAGACATCTATTAAATTGAAATTATTAAAGAATAGTTAAAAAACATTCGTCAAAATATATTAAATGGAAAAAGCATATCATCCTACCCAATCTGAATTTTATGAAAGACATTTCCTAAGTAGGATCCATGAATTTCTATGAAAAATGAGATTTAAGACTTTGTGGGGAGGAGCCAAGATGGCCGAATAGGAGCAGCTCCTGTCTACAGCTCCCAGCGCGAGCGACGCAGAAGACGGGTGATTTCTGCATTTCCATCTGAGGTACCGGGTTCATCTCACTTGGGAGTGCCAGACAGTGGGCGCAGGTCAGTGAGTGCGCGCACCGTGCGCGAGCCGAAGCAGGGCGAGGCATTGCCTCACTTGGGAAGCGCAAGGGGTCAGGGAGTTCCCTTTCCGAGTCAAAGAAAGGGGTGACGGACGCACCTGGAAAATCCGGTCACTCCCACCAGAATACTGCGCTTTTCCGACCGGCTTAAAAAACGGCCCACCACGAGATTATATCCCACACCTGGCTCGGAGGGTCCTACGCCCACGGAGTCTCGCTGATTGCTAGCACAGCAGTCTGAGATCAAACTGCAAGGCGGCAGCGAGGCTGGGGGAGGGGCGCTCGCCATTGCCCAGGCTTGCTTAGGTAAACAAAGCAGCCAGGAAGCTCGAACTGGGTGGAGCCCACCACAGCTCAAGGAGGCCTGCCTGCCTCTGTAGGCTCCACCTCTGGGGGCAGGGCACAGACAAAGAAAAAGACAGCAGTAACCTCTGCAGACTTAAATGTCCCTGTCTGACAGCTTTGAAGACAGCAGTGGTTTTCCCAGCACGCAGCTGGAGATCTGAGAACGGGCAGACTGCCTCCTCAAGTGGGTCGCTGACCCCCGAGCAGCCTAACTGGGAGGCACCCCCCAGCAGGGGCACACTGACACCTCACACTGCAGGGTATTCCAACAGACCTGCAGCTGAGGGTCCTGTCTGTTAGAAGGAAAACTAACAAACAGAAAGGACATCCACACCAAAAACCCATCTGTACATCACCATCATCAAAGACCAAAAGTAGATAAAACCACAAAGATGGGGAAAAAACAGAACAGAAAAACTGGAAACACTAAAAAGCAGAGTGCCTCTCCTCCTCCAAAGGAACGCAGTTCCTCACCAGCAACGGAACAAAGCTGGATGGAGAATGACTTTGACGAGCTGAGAGAAGAAGGCTTCAGACGATCAAATTACTCTCAGCTATGGGAGGACACTCAAACCAAAGGCAAAGAAGTTGAAAACTTTGAAAAAAATTTAGAAGAATGTATAACTAGAATAACCAATACAGAGAAGTGCTTAAAGGAGCTGATGGAGCTGAAAACCAAGGCTCGAGAACTACGTGAAGAACGCAGAAGCCTCAGGAGCCGATGCGATCAACTGGAAGAAAGGGTATCAGCAATGGAAGACGAAATGAGTGAAATGAAGTGAGAAGGGAAGTTTAGAGAAAAAAGAATAAAAAGAAATGAGCAAAGCCTCCAAGAAATATGGGACTATGTGAAAAGACCAAATCTACGTCTGATTGGTGTATCTGAAAGTGATGGGGAGAATGGAACCAAGTTGGAAAACACTCTGTGGGATATTATCCAGGAGAACTTTCCCAATCTAGCAAGGCAGGCCAACGTTCAGATTCAGGAAATACAGGGAACGCCACAAAGATACTCCTCGAGAAGAGCAACTCCAAGACACATAATTGTCAGATTCACCAAAGTTGAAATGAAGGAAAAAATGTTAAGGGCAGCCAGAGAGAAAGGTCGGGTTACCCTCAAAGGGAAGCCCATCAGACTAACAGCGGATCTCTCAGCAGAAACCCTACAAGCCAGAAGAGAGTGGGGGCCAATATTCAACATTCTTAAAGATAAGAATTTTCAACCCAGAATCTCATATCCAGCCAAACTAAGCTTCATAAGTGAAGGAGAAATAAAATACTTTACAGACAAGCAAATGCTGAGAGATTTTGTCACCAGCAGGCCTGCCCTAAAAAAGCTCCTGAAGGAAGCGCTAAACATGGAAAGGAACAACCGGTACCAGCCGCTGCAAAATCATGCCAAAATGTAAAGACCATCGAGACTAGGAAGAAACTGCATCAACTAACCAGCAAAATCACCAGCTAACATCATAATGACAGGATCAAATTCACACATAACAGTATTAACTTTAAATGTAAATGGACTAAATGCTCCAATTAAAAGACACAGACTGGCAAATTGGATAAAGAGTCAAGACCCACCAGTGTGCTGTATTCAGGAAACCCATCTCACATGCAGAGACGCACATAGGCTCAAAATAAAAGGATGGAGGAAGATCTACCAAGCAAATGGAAAACAGAAAAAGGCAGGGGTTGCAATCCTAGTCTCTGATAAAACAGACTTTAAACCAACAAAGATCAAAAGAGACAAAGAAGGCCATTACATAATGGTAAAGGGATCAATTCAACAAGAAGAGCTAACTATCCTAAATATATATGCCCCCAATACAGGAGCACCCAGATTCATAAAGCAAGTCCTGAGTGACCTACAAAGAGACTTAGACTCCCACACATTAATAATGGGAGACTTTAACACCCAACTGTCAACATTAGACAGATCAACGAGACAGAAAGTCACCAAGGATACCCAGGAATTGAACTCAGCTCTGCACCAAGCGGACCTAATAGACATCTACAGAACTCTCCACCCCAAATCAACAGAATATACATTTTTTTCAGCACCACACCACACCTATTCCAAAATTGACCACATACTTGGAAGTAAAGCTCTCCTCAGCAAATGTAAAAGAACAGAGATTATAACAAACTATCTCTCAGACCACAGTGCAATCAAACTAGAACTCAGGATTAAGAATCTCACTCAAATCTGCTCAACTACATGGAAACTGAACAACCTGCTCCTGAATGACTACTGGGTACATAACGAAATGAAGGCAGAAATAAAGATGTTCTTTGAAACCAATGAGAACAAAGACACAACATACCAGAATCTCTGGGACGCATTCAAAGCAGTGTGTAGAGGGAAATTTATAGCACTAAATGCCCACAAGAGAAAGCAGGAAAGATCCAAAATTGACACCCTAACATCACAATTAAAAGAACTAGAAAAGCAAGAGCAAACACATTCAAAAGCTAGCAGAAGGCAAGAAATAACTAAAATCAGAGCAGAACTGAAGGAAATAGAGACACAAAAAACCCTTCAAAAAATTAATGAATCCAGGAGCTGGTTTTTTGAAAGGATCAACAAAATTGATAGACCGCTAGCAAGACTAATAAAGAAAAAAAGAGAGAAGAATCAAATAGATGCAATAAAAAATGATAAAGGGGATATCGACACTGATCCCACAGAAATACAAACTACCATCAGAGAATACTACAAACACCTCTATGCAAATAAACTAGAGAATCTAGAAGAAATGGATAAATTCCTCGACATATACACTCTCCCAAGACTAAACCAGGAAGAAGTTGAATCTCTGAATAGACCAATAACAGGATCTGAAAATGTGGCAATAATCAATAGCTTACCAACCAAAAAGAGTCCAGGACCAGATGGATTCACAGCCAAATTCTACCAGAGGTATAAGAAGGAGCTGGTACCATTCCTTCTGAAACTATTCCAATCAATAGAAAAAGAGGGAGTCCTCCCTAACTCATTTTATGAGGCCAGCATCATTCTGATACCAAAGCCGGGCAGAGACACAACCAAAAAAAGAGAATTTTAGACCAATATCCTTGATGAACATTGATGCAAAAATCCTCAATAAAGTACTGGCAAAACAAATCCAGCAGCACATCAAAAAGCTTATCCAACATGATCAAGTGGGCTTCATCCCTGGGATGCAAGGGTGGTTCAATATACACAAATCAATAAATGTAATCCAGCATATAAACAGAGCCAAAGACAAAAACCACATGATTATCTCAAGAGATGCAGAAAAAGCCTTTGACAAAATTCAACAACCCTTCATGCTAAAAACTCTCAATAAATTAGGTATTGATGGGACGTATTTCAAAATAATAAGAGCTATCTATCACAAACCCACAGCCAATATCATACTGAATGGGCAAAAACTGGAAGCATTCCCTTTGAAAACGGGCTAGCCATATGTAGAAAGCTGAAACTGGATCCCTTCCTTACACCTTATACAAAAATTAACTCAAGACAGATTAGAGACTTACATGTCAGACCTAAAACCATAAAAACCCTAGAAGAAAACCTAGGCATTACCATTCAGGACACAGGCATGGGCAAGGACTTCATGTCTAAAACACCAAAAGCAATGGCAACAAAAGCCAAAATTGACAAATGGGATCTAATTAAACTAAAGAGCTTCTGCACAGCAAAAGAAACTACCATCAGAGTGAACAGGCAACCTACAAAATGGGAGAAAATTTTCACAACCTACTCATCTGACAAAGGGCTAATATCCAGAATCTACAATGAACTCAAACAAATTTACAAGAAAAAAACAAACAACCCCATCAAAAAGTGGGCGAAGGACATGAACAGACACTTCTCAAAAGAAGACATTTATGCAGCCAAAAAACACATGAAAAAATGCTCACCATCACTGGCCATCAGAGAAATGCAAATCAAAACCACAATGAGATACCATCTCACACCAGTTAGAATGGCGATCATTAAAAAGTCAGGAAACAATAGGTGCTGGCGAGGATGTGGAGAAATAGGAACACTTTTACACTGTTGGTGGGACTGTAAACTAGTTCAACCATTGTGGAAGTCAGTGTGGCGATTCCTCAGGGATCTAGAACTAGAAATACCATTTGACCCAGCCATCCCATTACTGGGTATATACCCAAAGGACTATAAATCATGCTGCTATAAAGACACATGCACACGTATGTTTATTGCGGCATTATTCACAATAGCAAAGACTTAGAACCAAGCCAAATGTCCAACAATGATAGACTGGATTAAGAAAATGTGGCACATATACACCATGGAATACTATGCAGCCATAAAAAATGATGAGTTCATGTCCTTTGTAGGGACATGGATGAAATTGGAAATCATCATTCTCAGTAAACTATCGCAAGAACAAAAAACCAAACACCACATATTCTCACCCATAGGTGGGAGTTGAACAATGAGATCACATGGACACAGGAAGGGGAATATCACACTCTGGGGACTGTGGTGGGGTGGGGGGAGGCGGGAGGGATAGCATTGGGAGATATACCTAATGCTAGATGATGAGTTAGTGGGTGCAGCGCACCAGCATGGCACATGTATACATATGTAACTAACCTGCACAATGTTCACATGTACCCTAAAACTTAAAGTATAAAAAAAAATAAGAATAACAAAATAAATCCAAAAAAAATAAAAAATAAAAAAAATTTAAAAAAAGACCTTTTTATCTTTTTGCTTTTCTACGTATTATGTGATGAACATACAGTATGTAAATATACATTATTAATTATCTAATGACAAGAGGAAATAAGCTATTTTTGAAACCACCTTTCCAATTTATAAATTTTTCTTTTAATTGCATGCAATTAATATGTATTAGGTAGAGTAAAGAAATGATTAGAAAGTATTTTCAAAAATGTATAGAGAACATTTGCAGAAAGCTAACAAATTGAGAGTCGTAGCTTCTACCTAGAAAACTTGCCTTATTGTGTATAGAAGTCTGGACCATCATGAACCATATCCAGACCTCATGGGGAAATTCCATGTGGTTCAAAGAGCTATAATCAAAGAGGTAAGTCATTCACACACACACACATACACTGTCTCTCACACACACAGACTCACACACATCCACACACATATGCATACATATACACACATGTATACACCCAAAATACAATTATGGAGTAGAAAAGAGAAAACTGTGACAAAGTGTCCTGGCTTGGAGTTGGAATATACTCAGTTCTCGGTTTATTCTATGAAAGGAGCCCCCTTACCTGTTCTTTTTTGTTGTTCTGGACTTTACTGTCCATGATAGTCTTTCTTGTCCATTTTCCTCCATGGTCACATATGCCATAGACTTTGAAGTCACGTCTTGGCGACTGCTTTCTATTAATCTGGTTTTGAAGCTTAGCCATGGCTTCAGAAGTCAAGTAACGAGAGGCTACTACAAGCCAGACTTTTCATTTCTTTGGCGCCAACCCCTCAAAAGTTTCTGTTCTATTTGCCTCTAGATGGTTACATATTCACGTTACCACAGCTGAAGTTCTCAACTGGGATCATTTTTAAACCCGAAAGCTCTGATCATTTATTTACTGGCCTCTGTGTTCTTACTACTCTTATCCCTTTCAATTTAGTGGCAGTCATTTTGACATGTCGTTTACAATAAGGAAAAAAGAATATCCCTTAGAAAAGTATTTGTTAGTTTCTGGATGGTGTCTGTGGTCTGTCAAAGAAAAATTCAGGGAAGCTGCTTGTGAGGAGTTTGGGCTTAGAAATCTTGTCTCCAGCGACAGTATCTGTTCAGAGCCATCTCATACAAAGGCTTCATTTTGGAATAAAAGCAGTTGGCTTTTTCAACACTGGATTTTAAAACCCAGAGGCTCCATTATTAGATTTCATTCTGTTGACAACCTTTTCATCTCAGCGAGCAAAATGATGTATTACAGCCCAAATTCATTTCACTAATAGGACTTTACTATAAAAGGTAAAAATAACCAACATACATCAAATTTCTGCATTTTTCTTAACATGTGCTCTGTAGGCATACAAACTGACTTCCAAGATATCACAGATAATGGATTTGCCACACATACTGGTATGACATGGCAAGTGTCACCTGCTGGCAAACCTGCAATATCGGCACCCTTGCTATTGCCACCCGACCACTGAGACTATGCATCAAGTTTTAGGTTCTGTTAAGGCATCCCATTTCCAGACACTGTACTAAGGCTGGTGATTGTTCAAATGTTGCTTTGGACTCCTTAGGGAATCCTAAAACAAACAATGTTTACCTTAAACAAAATAGATGTCACAACAAGCCCAAGAAAGTAGGTCAAGTCTCCTCTGCTAAGCCCTCAGGGACACAGACAACTTCTGTCTTGTGTCCCTTTAATCTTCAAGAGAAGCTTCTTCCATCTTTTGATTCAAGACAGTGGTTCCAGTTTCTACCCTGGGAATGGAGAACAAGACCGTATCACATGCTGTTAAAGCACAGCCCAAAATGTCATAGCTCATTTTCATTCAGATGTCATTGACCATAGTTTAGCCACATGTCCATACCCAGCTACATAGGAAGCTGGAAAATATAATCCTTAGCTGTGCTGAGTCCAAAAGTCTATGATGTATGAAAAAGGGTGAATGTATTGTGAGGAAAAAACTAGCAGTTTGTATCACTTACATAAGATGCATATTTAAGTAATCAAAATGATGAGTGCCCCAAAGGAAAAATTGGCAGACAGAAGCAAAAAACTCTAAAAAGAAGAAAGAAAAGTTATTAAACCATTTAAAAGTAAACCTACCTAGAGATCCAAGAATGCAACTGGAAACAGTGAACATATACATATTTCTATCAAATTTAAAATAGTCTAAAAAATTATAATACCTGTTGTCATCATGATTTCAGTGAGACATACATCTCCATATTGTTAGAAGTGTGTAAATGCGAACAAACTGCAGGAAACAAATTGGTCATCTGTCTCAAGAGTGTTTACATTATGCAGTCCTTTTGCTGCAGCAATTTCATTTCTAGAAATCCACCTTAAGGTAACAATGATAGATGAGATAAGCGATTTTCATAAAAGAATGCTCACTGACACTGTATTTACAATTGCAAAAATTTAAAAATCTAAATGCCCAATAAAAGAGAATGACAATAATAATCATGATTGAGACACATACTAGAATAGTAATCAGCTGTTAAAAATCATGTTTCAATAGAATATTTGGCAAACTTCCCTAATGCAACACTCGAATAAAAGTAAAACTAGGATATGACATTATTTTATAAAATGGAGTCTAAACTGTGAGTAGGTATTAAATTTTATATCAAAATACCTCAAAATTATAAAGCAAATTGTATTTTTTATGATTTTTTGCATTTCCATGTTATCTACAGTGTACGCGTTTTAATTTAATAGATCAGAAAGTCAATGATGTTATATTCAAAGTTATTCAGATGAAGATGACTATGTTCCTCAAAACTCAAAACTAAACCTCAGCAGATTATCAGGAAATCGTCTTCATTTGCTCAGTTCATAACTGACTCTAACAGCTGCTTGTTCATTTATATTTTCTTTACTTCTCTTTTTGCTGAACTTGTTAACTCAATGAATTGATAGATATTTGAAAAATGAGTTTCATATGAAAGAAAATTCCCTTACTCATCCTAGTCTTTCTTTGGCTAATGTATTTTGTTATTCATTACAGTGTCCTGCCCACATGCGTAGTGGCATAAATGTCTGCTCTTTGAGCTCAGTCAGAAATTAATACTTTTACCTTTATGCTGATTTTTCATAATATATGGAATGAGTTAATGGGCTCAAATTTTATTTTCACCAACTAAAATTACGGAGAAGAAAATTAAAGGCAAAAATATTGTTTAAATTGACATGAAAAATATATTTTAAGTAATCACAGAATAGCAATGGTTAACCTTCTCTGATTGTGCCAGATACCACACTAAGTGCTTAGCAGTTCTTGGCCTATTGTGTCCTCACATCAATTCTCTGAGGCAAGTGCTATGATTAGCTTCATTTTACAGGCGAGGAGTCTGAAGCACAAGGAGTTATATACTTGTCCAGGATTGCTCAGCAGTGAGGGGTGGAGTTGCAACCCAATCCAAGGCAATGTGGCTACAGCGTCTGCACATTTGGCCAGATCACAACACTGTCTCATCATATCAAGAACGATGATAGAATCACCCATAAGTTTTCAACAGCACAGCCTCTGGTAACAAGAGAAAGTTATGTCCTCCCTTATTACAGCTAAAGAAAATAAATTGCTTCTATGTTGATACCATCAGAGACAGTTTCTCATTTTTACTTTTAGCAGATCTGCTGTGGTACATTTGATAACTCGGCAGAATCCAATAAAGGGAATGACAGAGGGAATATCAGATTCAGAACAGACATAGCTGGTCAGTGGCGAGAACAATAATAAAACATTTGATCACCTTGAGTAGTAAGCACTACATAACATCACGATATGCATTCATGAATGTGTGTGTGTGTGTGTGTGTGTGTGTCATGTCTTGATATGCCATATATCTGTCCTTTGAAGTATCTTCTTCAATTCATCATCCAGCTTCAAATTCAGACCTGCAAAAATGCTCTAGGCAAAAGGTGTCCTTTCAACTGATCTGTTTGTTATTGTAATGAGAGCACATTTTATGTGCATAGCCCAATATTTTAGAATTAAGAGCATATACAAAAAATGATACAATATTCAGTGAAATGTTCATCAAATCCATCCAGCTGCACCAGAGGCAGCTTTTATGATTCTCAAAAGGAAAGTCGGATTCCTTGGAACAATAAAACAACTGCACTTATGTAACTGACATTTGATGAGGTGAGACAAATGTTCCTTCAGATTTCCAGAGCTGGCATATCCAAAGTAGCAGGTCAGTGTAGAGCAGTGTATGCGTGTGTGCATGTTGTACATGCACATCAGCTACTGTTTGGTCTAATAATTGGAGCCCAGCTATTGTGCTGGATGATGCTCTGATCTAATTATTGCATTCTGCCATTTCAGGTAACTCTGACAAGCCATCCTGTGCATATGCCTCATGACTTTAATTGCAAGGAGCTGAAAATAAAGCTATTTCTCAAGTTTTTTGTGTCTTCAAGTGCCACAGCATCCAGCTCTCAGAACTCTTTACATTCCCTTTATGCTCTATTTAGGGTTTCATTGAAATCTATTATATTTCACATCATAATGAGAGGGGAGCAATCAAGTTGTTTTGAAAGATATCAGCAAATATCTTGGACCAAATTCCAGAGGTAGTTTTAATGCTCCCAGGATCTTTTTAACATTAAACCCTATTGACCTAGGATCTAGCAATCACTCCTTTCACAGTGGCCAAAAAATATACATGTATCTGAGATCTGGGGGAAAAATAATGACTCAAAAATATGAAAAAAATAAAATTTTAAAAAATTATGTAATTTCTGCCAACACAGCACTGTGTCATCCTGTGAGCTACAACTCAATTATTAGTTACATATGAATTTTGTTACATTCATTTTGATGTTGATATATTTTAAAGAGTGAGAAATAATGTACAATTGTCATCATAAATTGAAAGAACCTAATTGCCTAAACCCTATTTTAATTAATAGTAGGATTGTCACAATTCTTTACCCTGGTTCTCCAGATGTTCAAATGTATGAGTTAATCATTTAACATAAATGATATATATCATTACGGTCTGTTGAAGGTTGGCTAGTTTGGGTTAAAAATCAGCTTCTAAGTCTGGTCCCTACCACCAGTTACACAAGGGCAATTAGAAATAAGCAGTTATGAAAATTCTGCTACAAAACCAGAAGACTCTTTTGGCATGCTGAACTTTATCTTATATTCATAGCCAAAGGAGAAGCCTCTTTTTCATTAACAATTATCACTTTTGTTATAGCCCTGGTTCATAACCTTGGCTGCACATCAGAATCCCATATAGAGTTTTCAAAATTACATACACCCAGGCATCACCCAACACCTCTGAATCAGAATCTCAGAGGAAGGCCCAGGAATTTATTTATATTATATATATTTTTTTAAAAATTACAGGTGATTTAGATGTACTGCTGCTGTGGGAAGAAATAGCCTAACAAGTTAAAATGGGCAGATGTCACTGATGCCTTATCATCAAAATGAACTTCAATGCGGCTGACGGTGTCGTTAATGGTGCAATGTGTCAAATTTGGTCATGTTTTCAAGTGCCATTTCTGGTTACGTTGCTGCCTTGTTTTAAATGGACTGAGGTTTTTTGTAACTTCAGTTGCAGACAATATTTTCTGAGAGTGCACGAGAAATATCAATTTTCTGCAGAGATTATACCACCCCCTAACAGAGTGGAAAGCCACTATTTTACTTCTTTAATGCTGACAAGGCATCTAAAGGGAGACCATTTATCTTTCCTGATAGTTCAGGAAAAAGACAAATGCACGTCTCCTTACTGTATTATCAAAACCAAACAAACAAAAACCAAATTAACTCACCAAATTTGTGAAACAATGACACTTGTAATGAGAGCCTTTTGAGATAATAGAATAAAAATATTACCTGTTAAAATGTACACACTACACTTTGAACAGAATGACAGTTTATTCTCTTACATTCTATAACCTTAAGAATGATTTGCTTTCTCTTCATCTTCACTCTGTAAGAATGCTTACCAACAGACAAAAAGAAACTTCCCGAATTCCAACAACAAAGTAACAATGGATTTGAAGAAAGGGAAAACAGTAATCTGACAACATTCAGTCTTTCCACTGATGACCTGACCCTTTCAAAGTTGTCCAAAATAACAAGTCAAGAATCACTTGAGGTCAGGAGTTCAAGACCAGCCTGGCCAACATGGTGAAACCCCGTCTCTACTAAAAATACAAAAAATTAGCCGGCGTAGTGGAGCACACCTGTAATCCCAGCTACTTGGGAGGCTGAGGCAGGAGAATCGCTTGAACCGGGGAGGTGGAGGTTGCAGTGAGCCAAGACCGCACCACTGCACTCCAGACTGGGTGAAAAAGCGAGATTCCATCTCAAAAAATAATAATAATAAATAAATTTTAAGAATAAACCTTTTGTGTTAGGGTCCTGGGGCTCCTGAAACAAAGTACCACAAACAGAATGGCTTAAAACATTAAAAAAAAACAAAAAACAAAAACAAAAAAAACAAAACAGAAATGTAATCTCTCATTGTTCTGGAGGCCAGAAGTCCAAAATCTAGATGCCCACAAGGTTGGTTCCTTCTGGAGGCTCTGAGGGAGGAAGTCTGTTTCCTCCTGGCTTGTTTGCTGCTGACAAACTTTGGTGTTCCTTGGCCTGCAGATGCATAATTTCAAACTCTGCCTCTGTCTTCACATGTGCATCTCTGACTCTTTCGGTTGCCTTCTTATAAGGACACTGGTTGCAGGATTTCAGACCCATCCTGATTCAGTGTGACTGCATATTAACTTGATCATATCTGCCAAAATCGTATTTCCAAATAACGTCACATTCACATAAGGTCCTGAAGGTTAGGACTTCAACGTATATTTTGGGGGAACATAATTCAATCCACAACACATGCTTTCATTAATTACACAGTTTTAAAAAATAACTTGCTAACTTTGAGTTTGAGTAAAGTAACATTTCATTTACATTCCTGAATTCAGCCCCATTCAAAACAGGCGATCTTGAGTAAGCTACTTAAGCCTGCTCAGCCTCAGTTGACTCATTTGCAGAAGACCATCTCATAGAACTCTTATGAGGTCTAAATATGACAGTGTATATAATGCACATAATACTACTACTTATTGAGGGCTTATTATCTAATCCAAAAGTATTCTTTAAATGAACAAATTGACACACTAAAGATTTGAATGACTTCCTAATGGCACCAGAGCTAGGAGTGAAACACCTAAATCTAAATCCTAAATCTAGAATACTTTCCTAAATCTAGAATACTTTCCACTACATCATTTTGTGCTTATGAAATTATAAAAATACTGGATCATTTTTCCATTTATTTCTCAATGTTATCTATGTTAGTGAGCCTCAGTCAGAAGAACGACAACTTTAAAATTTGCTTTGCAATACAGGAAGCAAGCAGATATGCTATGTGTGATCTTATTTCAATAAAGTTGCAAAGTAACACAAACCAAGTATTCACACATACACAGATACAATGCCTCTGAAATGGCACCTAAAAACAACATGTGTGTAGTGTGTGTGTGTGTGTATGTGTGTGTGTGTGTGTGTGTGTGTGTATACTTGGTTTCTGCCTCTTTGCAACCGTATTCTCTTCTACTTATAAAGTAGTATCCTCATTTCTTCAGTTTTCTTCAGCTACAAGGAAGCCTGGGGCATCACCAGCCACAAGCTTGGCCAACTTCAATGGAGGCAGCCAGAATAAAAAATTTGACAGGGCTCAGTTAACCAGCACTCTTTCACCAGGAAGGCATTTAAATTTGTTAACTGCAAGTATGGCAAGTATAACTCTGCCAGCTTTACTTATGCAATAAGCTTAGTACCTTCAAATAAAGTGAACTTAACTCCATTACTAGACCAGGCAA
This sequence comes from Homo sapiens, assembly GCF_000001405.40. NCBI lineage: Eukaryota > Metazoa > Chordata > Mammalia > Primates > Hominidae > Homo > Homo sapiens. The sequence goes on from NC_000008.11 coordinate 16,683,172, forward strand.
CTCAACTATTTCAGGTTTCAATAAACCACATTTAACTCTCACAATGTCAACTTAGCTATAATCAATGTCAGCAGAAAAAATGGTTTTGTTATTAATATAAGAGCATTTTGAGCTAATCATATTATTTACTAATTAATTCATCATTTCTTGGCTACTTTGTCTTTTAATACTTGGTTTTAATCTTTAAAATTGTATTATGATCAATTAAAATAGCCTGATTTAATTTCGTCTAGCTTTTTTTGAATAAACATAATTGTTTTTAAAAGAACTGTTTTATTGTGTAAGTATATTTCTGCATTTCTAGATGTAATGGGAACTATTTACTCTAAAGGAATTAAGAGATTTATTGTCAAGAATTCTGCTGTGTCATAAACTAAAACATAAAATGGAAAATCACTGTGAACTTACTATGAAAAAGTGATAAACTTTGTTGTCTAATGCTATGATTCATAAAGCTTTACTCAAAATCCTCTGGCTCAATTTTAGAAACCTTATAATCAGTTTTTCTGTTTAAACCTATAATCACTTCCATTTTTCATGTCAGCAGTTTGTGACACTCAGAATTCCTTCCGAAGTATTTTAATTTCATCAAAAATATGTAACACAGATAAGATCCCCTTCTACAGCACACAGGATAAGCTTTCTCACTGTTAGCAGGATTGTCCTGTCTTTTTCAGGTAAATCTTCTCAAAATGTAACTCACCTGATACTTATAAAAGGTATAAGCATTATTATAAAGGTAATAATTTTGATATTTTTGTATAACATGCAATAATCTGACATAGAGGTATTAGTACCACCAATTATTTTAAAAGATCTATGCATCAGGCAGGTTTTGTAGATAATTCAAAATCATATTCAAAAAGATTAAATGAATTAAGATTTAATTACCCAAATATTCTCAAAATGCCAGGCAGTATGATAGCTAGTATCTATTCCTCAAATCACCCACCTCAGTGATTCTAAAAGAAATAACCCCATAGGGAAATGGCACAAGAAACATCAATTTGATGTTCAAGACTTGGTTGATCTTGCCATTTATGCCCCTATAATTTCTATCTTCTTAAAAGCAAGAAAATTTTGTGCTTCAAATAGCATGAGTTCACTCTTATACAGCGGAGGGTAATTCAATATGTGGTTTTCTTCCAATTCAAAGCAAGGAGAGAGGACAGCAAGAGGAACTTTGCAGTAAAGAAACCCAACAGACACTACTTCTGCCAGTTGGTCAAGGTCAACATCAATTATCACAAGTCATGTCGATAGTATGCATCCTTGATATAAGGAGATGAAAATGATGCTATATCTGTTCTTCCTTCCAATAACTATAGCACCAGTTTTATCATAAGAAAATAATCAGACGAATTCCAATATTGGGCAACCTACAGAACATCTAACCAGGATTCCTCAAAATTGTCAAGGGCATCAAAAACAAGAGTTGTCTAAGAAACTGTGACAGCTAAGACAAGCCTAAAGAGACACGGCAACAAAACGTAACGTGGTATCCTGAATGGGATCCTGGCGCAGAAAAAGAAACACTACGTAAAAAACTAAAGAAATCTGAATAAACTGTGGATGTATATGTTAATAACAATATACAAATATTGGTTCACTAATTGTGACAGATGACCCACACTAATGTAAGATGTTAATAATAGGGGAAAGTGCACACAGACTATATGAGAATCCTCTTTACTGGCTTCTTAATTTTTCTGTAAATCTAGAAATGTTCTAAGAAAGGAAGTCCATTAGAAAAATCCCAAAAGTCCACCCAGAAAAAAAAAAAAAGGCGAGTGAAGGCATAAAATGCATTCACACATTTTCAACAAAAAAATCTACTGTGAATTAATAAGATATCCTTAATCATTTGCCAAGAGAATATATTGATATTCTTTATCCATGCAGAGATTTTCTCTTTTTTTTTTTTTTTTTTTTTTTTTTTTGAGACAGGGTCTTCTTGCTCTGTCACCCAGGCTGGAGTGCAGTGGCGCGATCTCGGCTCACTGCAACCTCCACCTCCTAGGTTCACGTCATTCTCCTGCCTCAGCCTCGCGAGTAGCTGGGACTACAGGCGCGTGCCACCACGCCTGGCTAATTTTTTGTATTTTTAGTAGAGACGGGGTTTCACCGTGTTAGCCAGGATGATCTCAAGCTCCTGACCTCGTGATCCACCCACCTTGGCCTCCCAGTGTGCTGGGATTACAGGCATAAGCCACTGCACCCGGCCTTCCCTTTCTGTCAAACAAACAATGAACACATGTGCAATGATATTCAGCAAGGCAATTTAGTTAGAAGAGGATACAAATCAAGAATTATGCAGAAAATATAGGCCAATGGGGCTAGTATCATTAGTAGTTTTAATTAGTAGTTTCTTGCTATTAACCTAGGTATGTCATCAGATGGGCTCCTTAATGAATTGGTCCTCTTTCTTGCTTTATGCCACTGGGCTCAACTCAATTTCCCTCTTAAAAATTTGCCAAAAACAAAAGCAACTGTCCATCACATGACACGTAAATGGGAGTACATACCTATTTCATTTAAGCAAAGCACACTTGTTAAAACACAACTATTTTTACATGTCAGCGAAGATGGCATTGCGAGTTGGCACACTGCTCTCAGCTTCTCATTACCACCCTTCTTGCTTGCTTGCTTGCTTTCTCTTCCTTCTTTTTAATGTAAAATTCTTTGCTGAAGCATAACAAAGAAATAAGAAAGTTCAGCCCAATGGATTTTCAAAGTGAATACATCCACGAGGTAAGCACCTAGAAACAGAGCATTACTGAACTCCTGTAGCCCCAGTGTGTCCCCTTCCAGACAGAAGCCTCCAATGGTAACCACTATCTCAAGATCTAAAAGAATTGGTTTGTTTTGCTTGTTTTTTGAAATACATATAAATGGAATCCTATGGTGCATATTTTTTTTGTGTGGGTCCTTTTAGCCATTATTATGAATCCTATGGTGCATATTTTTTGTGTGTGGGTCCTTTTACCCATTATTATGTTTGTCAGCTTTATCCATGCCACTGCATTTTAAAAATTTTTCTGTGATTGAATTATGCCATTGTATGAATACATAACGACTTACCCATTCTACTGGGTTGGGTTGTTTCCAGTTTAGCACTGTTGCAAGTAGTATTGCTATGAACGTGGCTATAATTGACTGTTACCCTCTGGTTAACTTTGCTGCACCTCCATGGCCTAGAATCTCCAGGAAGGAAGTCAACTAAATATTTCCTGAAATCACAAGCCCATGTGTTTGTGCAAAATCACTTTTAAATTTCTGCATACCTTTAATGATGCCATTCAAAAAGGGCCAAGGCCACATTTTTCTCAGTCTACCTGGTAAGTGATGAAAGTGTTCCTCTAAGTGTAGGCAAGCAAAGAAGAAGGATGGTGGTATTGAAAACAGAAAGGGCTACACTTCAGGCAGGAGAGAAGCTTAGCATTAGCTGATGTCAATGCAGTGTAACGAGTGGGCATTTAATGTTATGGTTATGGTATAATACAAGAAACCAACAGAGTCCTGAACAAAAATAAATTCCTGCTCTTGGACACTTTACCCAGCTATTGCCACACAATAACTTTGGACTAATTACTAGACCTGTTTCTTTGGTCTCTGATGACAAAGTTCCCCTTCAAGAGGATTTCCGCTGCTTTCCAGCCACTAAAAACTCTAGGTGGTAAGTGTATATGTGCATGTGTTGAAATCCTCATACTTGAAGTAGATCTTGTTAATTACTACATAATTGAGTTAATCCAATGTCGCAGCAAAATATTCTTCTGAATCCCAAGTTGTCTGAGGTACAAATTTGTCACTGAACATCATCTGAAACTCTCCATGCAAAATTCGTTTACTGAAGCCCAGGTGAGAATCTGTAAGGAATAATTTAAGCATATACAGACAGTCCCCAACTTAAGACGGTTCAATTTACAATTTTTCAACTTTACGATGGTGCAAAAGCAATATGCGTTCAGTAGAAACCATATTTCAAATACCCATACAACCCTTCTGTTTTTCACTTTCAGTATAATATTTAATAAATTATAGGAGATATTTAACACTTTATGATAAAATAGGCTTCACATTAGATGCTTTTGCCCAATGGTGAGCTAAGGTAAGTGTTCCGAGCATGTTTAAGATAAGCTAAGCTGAGCTATGATGTCTGGTTAGGTGTATTAAACACATTTTTGACTTAATGATATTTTCAACTTACCATGGATTTACTGGGATATAACCCCATGGTAAGTCAAGGAACATCTATATATTTATTTTCAGCATGTATTAATCATAATAGTATTTTAAGAGACATTTTACAAGAGAGATGAATTATAGATTCTGAGGCTATGACATGGCCATTAAATAACCTCTGCTGACAAATAAATTCAGAAAACCCTTAGAAAAGAAAAAAGTTATTCTCCATAATTTCCTCTAATGTTGACTAAAGGAAAAGAAAGTAATCAAGGTACCAACTTTTTCTGAGTTGAAGTAAAATTGATCACAAGGTCTTTCATCTGTTTATACCCGAGGCTAAAGATTGCAATCAAGCTAAGAGGTTTCCTTTACAATAACGTGTAAAAAAGATGCTTTTGTAGAGAGAATTTAGTATAGCCTCAGAGTTGCACATTTTTCTAAACCTCCATAGTAGGAACATCTCTGAGATAGAGACAACATTGGCCAAAATTTTAAGTCCTCAAACCTTTAGCCTACACATTACCTCCCTAAAAGGGGCCAAAGAATAAATGCAGAGGGCCGGGCGCGGTGGCTCACGCCTGTAATCCCAGCACTTTGGGAGGCCGAGGTGGGTGGATCATGAGGTCAGGAGATCGAGACCATCCTGGCTAACACGGTGAAACCCCGTCTCTACTAAAAATACAAAAAATTAGCCGGGCATGGTAGCGGGCGCCTGTAGTCCCAGCTACTCGGGAGGCTGAGGCAGGAGAATGGCGTGAACCCGGGAAGCGGAGCTTGCAGTGAGCCGAGATCGCGCCACTGCACTCCAGCCTGGGCGACAGAGCGAGACTCCGTCTCAAAAAAAAAAAAAAAAAAAAAAAAAAAAAAGAATAAATGCAGAGGAGGCGAGTGGGCAGAGAGACATTTCTCAACACTAATCATGATTGGGCTCCAAATTCTTGTCTTCTCTCTCACTCTTGAGAGAGGACTGGATCAGATGGGTCAAGAATGCCATTTGCTCCTAGAGCACACATAAGGAAGATGAGACCAAGTTTTTGGATAATTAAATATTTTACCAAATGGGAAAGGCTTAGAAAATTACTAGCTGGTAATGAGCATGCAATAAACATGAGCTTTCATTTGTATCATTCCCTAGGCTCACTACTTGATCCTGACCCTATAGCTTTTAATATTCTGATGGTGATAAGAGGCATAAAAACATAAACCAATAAAAATAGTTTTCTCACTAGAGCATCTCATTCTGTCATTTCTTTTGTGTCCTAACCTTAACCATATTTGGCTTCTAAAGTTGCAGAAAACTTCCCCAGGCTCATTTGACCATATCGATGTCATGGAGTTCTGAGAGAAAGAATTCAGGGAGAAGCATGATTAAAGAAGGGAGTGATCCCTGCAAAAGATGCCTAACAAATATCAAAACTTCCCCAGGATAATAGCCTCAATGTGTATTACGTATTGTGATTAACAGCTCTTACAGTGGTGCAAGGAAGCAAAACCAAGGGGAAGGAACAAATCCCACCACAATGAAGAGAGGTATTTGGGCCATACAAACTCTTATAAAAGCCTGGTTCTCTACTCAAGAGTCTGAGGCAGAAGGATTGCTTGAGCCTAGGTGTTTGAGGTTACAGTGAGCTATGATCGTGCCACTGCACTCCAACCTGGGCAACAACATGGTGAGACCGTGTCTCTAAAAAATTATAATAATAATAACATTAAAAAAAGTTCTATGAGCTGGGTTTAACATGTGCTACTCACAAAGTGCTTTCTGTAGTATAAGGATAAAACTACATCCTTAGAATCTTCAAGACAGAATGCTATTTATTTCCCATTGTCTGTCAACCCGAAGTTGCCCCCACAAAAACGGAGGATCTAAATGTCAGTTTAAAATGGGGCTTACATATGTATACATGTGCCATGACATGTACCCTAAAACTTAGAGTATAATAATAAAAAAAAAAAAAAAAAAAAAAGAAAAAAAAAAGAAAAATGGGGCTTACAAAGTGTGTTCCATTCCTAATCACTTTTGCGAATTTGCTAAATAGTCCAATTAATTGGTTTTCTTCCAGATATTTTCTGGTTCTGCAATTCCATTTTGAATGTTTCTAGCATACTTTGATACAAACCAATCAGCAACTAAGCCCATAGACAACAATAAAATAACTCCAGGAAAAAAAAATAGGCATGGTTGGTGTTGGATATGAACAACAAACAATATGTGAACATAAGCAAATCATTAGGGAAAATCTTCATTTTCTCCGATATTTTCATTTTGATTTAATAGGCACAGAAAACATATGCTACAATTATGGAAGGTAATACATCAAATGAAAGATACATCACATAACACAATGAGCCTTTGGAGATGTGTGAAATGATAGCACAAGGCCCTGAAAACTTTAAAAATAGAGGCATTCTGAGTCTCTGCAAACCTTTGGAGAATTAAGAGAACCAAATAAGGCAATTTATTACTTTCTACAGCTTACAATCCTAAGAGATTTAGGGAATGTACATTTATATGCTTCTTGTATAAGGTTGGTTAACACAGGAGGTCAGGGTATTTTCTTTACATTTCATTTCTGTAGAACTCTTGAAATTACATAGATTTGAATGCCAGAGGGAAAATAGAAGTTTCCGTTGCATGTTTGATAAGAAGCATTTCAAGTTAAAGGTCAATGGTCAATGTTCTGATGAGTGGCCTACAAGCCCGAGCTTTTGCAAATAATGGCATGTGCTTTCCTTCTCCAAAAATAATGACAAGCAGATGAGAAGGGACTCCCAGATGGGGAGGCCAATTGAAGGGCAAATGAGCCTGTCCTGCACTTGAAAATCAGAGCATGTGACAGAGAGCAAGTAACACTTTTCAGAGCTCTAGTGGGCTGATTTGCATCCAAATAGCAACTCGAGACAAGCAATCCATTCTTTTAATATATATTATTTGTCTTTTGGGGCATAGGAGGCTATACTAAGAAACCATGAATTTCATTCCTCAAAAAGTTTACCATCAAAGAAAATTATAGGAAATAAAAATTACTAGGTACCTAAACAAACAAACAAACAAACAAAAAACAGCAAAAAAAGAGGCTCAAGAAAAATAAATTTGTTGGATCAAAATTTTACATATTAGAAAAATATATATTTGTGCAAATAGTAAACCCAATCTAATGTACAAAAACTTTAAAATATTAAGGACATCCAATTGGTAACACAATATGTTGCTATTAAAAATAATAGAGTACTTCTAGACTAACTATAACTTTGGTACGAGGATCTTACTGTTTCCTTCAAATCCCAATAAAAGTGATGAAAGAAAAATAAAATAGAGGAGTAATTGCAGAACATTGAACAGAAAATCAAGGTGACATTCACGTGGCGCAATCTTTGAGGTAGTTCCACATAAATTCCTAAAGATCTAGCAAATTCTTTGAAAATCATACATTTACATAATGAATCCTGGGGGGACAGGAAGAATATGGAACTGAGAGCAAACAGTTCAAAACCTTGTTGACATCTGCTGTACTCAGAGGCAAATGCTGTGAGATAGGAGTTCAGCAGACTCCGCAGATAAAACAGGATGCAGTAAAGAAGCTGGCCAAACCTCCCAAAACCAAGATGGCAAAAAAAGCCACCTCTGGTGGTCCTCACTGCTCATTATACCCTAATCATAATGCATTAGCATGCTAAAAGACACTCCCACCAGCACCACGACAATTTACAAATACCATGGCAACATCCAGAAGTTACTGTACGTGGTCTGAAAGGAAGAGGAACCCTCAGTTCCAGGAATTCCACACCCCATTCCTGGAAAACTCATGAATAATCCACCCCTTGTCTAGCATGTGACTAAGAAATAATCATAAAAATAGTCAACCAGCCTATGGAGTAGCCACCCTTTCATTCTTTTATGTCTTAATAATTTGCTCTCACTTAACTCTGTCTGCTCACTCTTGAACTCCTTCCTGTGCAAAGCGAAGAACCTATATGACTTCTCAAACTGAACCCCAACTTTGAGGTTCGCCCTGTGACACAACTATGTGAAATAAGAAGCCCAGTGGTGGAGCCTTTCCCTGACATGGTAGGCCGTCCTCCAGGATGATGGTGGACACCATCCTTGCCCGCTCACATTCTGCTGAGAATGAAGGCTCAGTAAAAAATTACATATGAAAGCTGGCCTTTGCCAAAGAAGCATAGCTGTCTACAGAGAACAAACTGTACTAAAATAAAGTCTGTTTATTTCCCCTTATCCCAGGCACTGGATCATAGAACTGATAACGTCACCTTTTATCAACAATTTCTTCTGCAAAACATACTAGAAAAGAATTTTAATAACATCCTTATGGACAGTGAGAGGACACAAACAAAGCTTCTGACTACGTTTCTGATGAATACCAGGCTGCAATGGTGTACCAACAAAATCCAATATCACACCTGGATTTTACTGTGCGAAGTTGAAGAAGCAAAAGAATATTGCTTGGTATTGATCTTTCCTAAGAAAACAGAGGTAAATTATGATGTATTAATAAGTTTACAGTAAAATTCTATGAAAGATGAAGTACTTAAAATAGGGAAAAAGAAAAGATGATAAAATAGTAAAACAGAGCTGAATAAGACACAGAAAAAAATGTAAAAAATTAGAAATGCCATGGATAAAAGCAGCCTTACAGAAGCCAAAATACATCGGAAGGTTTCATCTAAGATATGAAATTAACCAATTTACTACAACTACCAGAATGCACTGAAATAAGACAGAGATGAAAACTGCAAGAGAAACTATGATAGGCTATTTGACATCACTGAAAAAGAGACTGCAAAAAAAATAAATATATTTTTAAATATATGATATATATATTTTTAATACATCATATTTCATAAATATTATATAACCCCTGAGATGAAGGCTACAATCTTCATATCTCAAAAAACTTTCAACTTTCCAGAAACAAAATTTAAAAAATAGGGGAAAAAACCTAACATACCCTGGTAAATAAAACTTTAGCATCAAATCCAAAAAAAAGTCATACAAGCAACCATGCAGAAAAACAAAAGAAAAATATAAAAACTCGCCATAGACTCTTCTGCTTTATTATTTGTAAGAACACTATGAAACAAGACTACAGATTTGTGAGAAGTAAAACGTTATAAACAGAAATTCTAGAACAAACAAAACTGAATGTTTCACATATTATACAACAAAGCATTCTCAAATACCCTCATAAAGCAAACATATGTTACTTACCTTTAAAAAACAATTTAGAGACATATTCTAGGTAACCATGAGACAGATTGAAATCAGGAACTCAGGAATAGAGAAATCAAGGTGGAGAAAAGTTACCTGACAGTGACGTCTCATCACCTCCATACACAGCTAAGTCTAAATTGTTGTAAATGCCATTATTTAAAAAGAATGGAAACTGTATAAATAATTATTGAATAGTAAATACATACTACAAAATATTATATAATAAACTGGGAATATTTTGCAAAGTGCATAATGAAGATAGTATTTTATTTGTAAATATCTCTTACAAATTTTAAGCATAAACACTACTGTTAAAACCAAAAAGAACACACGAAAACCACACACACACATAAACAGGCTAAATCCCAAAAGAAAAACAAAGCCACATAACCATTTGTTTAAGAGATTTCTAAAGTTATAATTTTAATCATCTCATCTTGGAGTGTAACAAAAAGAGAACCAGCTATCAGCCTGTGTATCAGGAATTTTCCGCAGAAAATTTGTATTACTTTCTCTTCCTAAAGAGACGTAACAGACAAAATTATTATGTGTAGGTTACATATTGAGCATATCTTATTTTTAAATATATAATAAATTATTATCATTGTGTACTTACCTGTAAGACTTGGCCAGAAGATTATATGACTGAAATAAAAACAATTGAGTCAATTAGAATTTCCAGTTTCTACCTGGCAATTCTAAGGAAACAAACCAACGACAAGAGCCAATGCTGATGTAACAACATGGTAGAAATAGAACAGTCAAGAACACTGTTTATGGGAACGTAAATTAGTATAGCCATTATAGAAAGCAGTATGAAGGGTTCTCAAAAAACTACATATAGGGCCGGGCGCGGTCGCTCAGGCCTGTAATCCCAGCACTTTGGGAGGCCGAGGCGGGCGGATCACGAGGTCAGGAGATTGAGACCATCCTGGTTAACACGGTGAAACCCCGTCTCTACTAAAAATATAAAAAATTAGCCGGGCGTGCTGGCAGGCACCTGTAGTCCCAGCTACTCGGGAGGCTGAGGCAGGAGAATGGCGTGAACCCGAAAGTCAGAGCTTGCAGTGAGCCAAGATCGCGCCACTGCACTCCAGCCTGGGCGTCAGAGGGAGACTGCGTCTCAAAAAGAAAAAAAAAAAAGAAAAAAAAAAGAAAACTGCAAATAGAACTACTATATAATCCAGCAATCCCACTACGGATTATCCAAAGGAAAGGAACTCAATACATCAAAGGGATAGCTGCACCCCATGTTTACTGCAGCACTATTCATAATAGCCAAGATATGGAATCAACATAAATGTCCATCAACAGATGGTGGATAAAGAAAATTGTGGTATACATACACAATGGAATACTGTTCTAAAAAAAGAATGAAATACTGTTATTCACAGCAACAGGGATGAGTCATGTTATTAATTATTAATGACTTATTAAGTGAAATAAGTCAAGCACAGGAAGGTAAATACCACATGTTTTTTACTCATATGCGGCAGCTAAAAAACAATTGAACTCATGGAAGTGGAGAGTAGAACTGTAGGTATTCGAAGCTGGGAAGGGGAGGAGGAGAGGATAGGGAGAGGTTGGTTAACGGGCTACAAAATTGAAGCTGCACAGGAGGAATGAGCTCTGGTGTTCTGCAGCACTGTAAGATGAAGATGATTAACTGCAATTTATTGTATATTTTCAAAACGCTCCAAAAGAGGATTCTGAATATTCTCAATGCAAAGAAAAGAATGAATTCTTTGTGATAGAGATGCTAATTTCCCTGACTTGCTCATTATGCATTGTATACACATACGGAAATATCACTCTGTATGCCATAAATATGTACAATTATGACATGTCAACTAAAAATAAAAGGAACAAAATAACAACACTTTTAAAAAATTTAAAAAAGAATCAGCCTTTTCTGACAGTGGCTAAGGAAAAGTCAACAACCTCAAACGGCTATAGGTAGGCAGATCTGCTAAAGTATAGATTTTCAGACATTTGCTAGGAGAACCAACCAAGATTTCCCCCTAAGAAGTACCTGCGACCAAATCTCAGCCTCAGGAGGGCCCAAGAGAGGTCGTCAGGGCCATATTCTTTGCCAGCCACACTCAAAGACAAGGTCCACACTGTGAGCCCTGGGATCATAAGTGGACAAAGGGGAATAAGGGATCGGTGGTACTAGGATTGACTTTTTTATTGTTTTCATTTTCTCCAATGAACATACATAATGTTTCCATTCAAAAAACAGAATAATATTTTTCAAATGGTTGTTGCAGATAATATGTGATATGGGCCACATTCATGACATAAGTGCTAAGTGTAAATTTTATTTACAACTCTGAGGAACAAAATAAGCTTGGAAGGGAATATTTAAAAACAAAATGACATGAACAGTAAGATTATGAATTATTAAGGTTTGTCCTCTAATGTCTAAACATTCCATAAGATGGTTATATGTTTTAATCATTTTAGATATTTTAAACATAATTGGAATCCAATCATTCTGCAACACATATATATTAAGACATATGTACCAGAATAGTATCATATCTTCTAGCCTTTAAACAGATTACAGGAGGATCAATGAATCTTAATATATATTAGAAGGCCTTTTTTGATTCGAAGCATTCACAAATAATAAAATAAACCTGGAGATTTAAAACGGAGGTGATTTTCAAAGGAACATTTTTTTTTGGAACCCACTCTTTTTAGAAACTGTAGTAGTAATCATTGATTAATTATTGGCATTGCTGGAATTTTACAAGTGACAAATTTCACATCTAATCATGGATGACAGAATCTCCAAAGACTGGATATATTGCAACTAAAGCAATCAAACAAATACAAGTTATTTTGGATACAGCAAAGACCACAGAAAGACTTTAATGAAATTTCAGTAATCCTTGCTAGGAGAGAAATTCACAAGGCCAGAGAACCCTAACTTCTGAAACTATTGTTCTTCAGAGCATTTGAAGAGCCCATTGTCAGAGAAATTGAAGTGGATCTGGCTTTTGATTTAAAATAAGTTCCTATCATGAACTGTCACTTCCAGGCATTCCAACCTCAGGCACATGATGAGCTGTGGATGGCAGAAGCTATAATCAGAGGTAAAGCAACTGGTGATAAAGTACAAGGTGCCATAAGTTTCAATATAAATCAATAGAGAAATTCCATCTCTATCCAGTTAAATCATTTCTAACTTTACTGTCTTACAGGAAATACAACCTGTGTCAAAAGAAAGGCAAAGTCAGAATCTACTGCTATAATTCCTATAACGTCTATTTTCTTAACAGTGCTTCAGCAAACTCTTTTGGTGCTGTTATGTGAAAAGTATCTCCCCTTAACCCTGGGTGCAAGGGTAGAATCCCATTGTGTTGGCAGGTAAGAGCTCACAGCTGCTCCCTTCTCCAGGAATTGCCCTCAGCTGGCAAAATCTGCTTTACCACAGCCTCCTTAGTCATAGCCACCAGTTAATGACTGAGTGATTTTGGAGTACAAAAGGTCAACAACCTTGCCATTCATGCAGTGAATACTCTAAAGTTCCCAGCTCCCCACGCCCCACACACATACCCAGCTTCCATGTATCAGACCATGCCCAGCCTTCATCTGATACCACATCCTTGCCTGGCTCTTTCTCCTTCCCTTCTTCCCTCTCTTCTCTTTCCTTCTTCACTCCCTCCACTAAGGGATTTTTCCTGAAGATCACTTCCTCAGTAAATAAATCACTGTCACCTGAATTCCTATTTCAGGCACTGATTCTACAGAACCAACCTAAAACAGAACAAAAATGAAAATAAACATACTTAAAAATCAAATTAAATTTTAAGACTTAGGCTGCACAAATCTCTGGATATTCCATCAATGTGTATTTGACCTTCTTTATTCCTCTCCCGAAGAGAACTTCTCCAGTGTATCTTATTCCCCACTGCCTTTAAGACACTGACATCGGTTCAACAATTGTATGTTGACTTCCCAGGTGTATATGACAATGCTTAAGACTATTGCTAAGCACAGCCTTAATGTTTGGAATAACATAATGACAGCAAGATTCAACTCCTAGCTCTAAAAAAAAAAAGAAAAAAGAAGATTCCACTCCTGACATACTCGGACTGCAGTTTTGTATCCAACAACTCTGAAATTAGTAGGAGAAGAAAAGATACACTCTCTGCCCCTCAAATATTTTTATCCTTTACAAAGCAGAAATGCAGAACACCTTTGATGCCAAGTGTTACTTACCCTACACTGCCCTTCCTCACCTTTCTGTGGCTCCTAAACCACTTAACATGGTGTGTGGTGGCTCAGGCTTGTAATCCCAACACTGGGAGATAAGGCAGGATTGCTTGAGCCCAGGAGTTTGAGACTGGCCTGGGCGACGTAGCGAGACTCTGTCTCTACAAAAAAATTCAAAAAGTTAGTCAACCATGGTTGTGCGTGCCTGTGGTCCCAGCTACATGGGAAGCTGAGGCAGGGGGAGCACTTGAACCAAGGAGGTTGAGGCTGCAATTAGCAGTTTTCACACCACTGCACTCAAGCCTGGGCAACAGAGAAAGACCCGTCTCAAAAAAAAAAAAAAAAAAAAAAAAGTGAGAGAATTTGTTTTGATTTGCTTTAATTCCTCCTAATGAGAGTTTTAATTTCCATTTCAATCATTGGGGAAAAATTTTTTGAAAGCATCTGCTCTGTACCAGGGCCTGGAGATTAGGGTAATGAAAAAACAGACAAAATCCTTTTTTTTTTTAAATGATGCTTACATTCTAACTGTGGAACACACACACACACACACACACACACACACACACACACACACTAAAACAAAACAAATTGTGTTATATCCAGACAATGAAATATAGTTCAGTACTAAAAAGAAATAAGCTATCAAGCCATGAATAGAGGAAACTTACATGCATGTTACTAAGTAAAAGAAGCCAATCAGAAAAAGCTACATACTGTATGATTCCAACAATGTTACATTCTGGAAAACCTAAAACTATGGAGACAGTAAAAAAGATCAAGGGTTGCCAGAATTTCGGAGGAAGAAGGAAGGAATAGGCAAAGCACAGAGGATTTTTAGGACAGTGAAACTGCTCTGTATGATCCTACAATGTTGGTGCATGTCGTACATTTGTCCAAACCCACAGAATATACAATACCAAGAGTGAGCCCTAATGTAAATTATGGACTCTGGATGATAATGTGACAGTGTAGGTTCATCAGTTGCAACAATGCACCAGTCTGGTGGCAGATGTTGATAATAGAAAAGGCTACACCTGTGTGTGGGCAGAGGCTATATGGGAAATCTCTGTACCTTCTGCTTAGTTTAGCTGTAAACCTAAAACTACTCTACAAAATAAAACCTACTTGAAAAAAAAAACAGAATGCAAATAAAATTATAAATTCTAGTAAAGAAGAACATCCAAAAATAACTTTGTCTCTAAATTTTAATATAACATTTTAAACAAATTATTTTTTCCTCCATAAATTGCATTCTAGGCCAAGGAGCTTAGTAGTCCTTGGAATGTTTTAGTAAAATATAGATTGATCAAATATGTTAATATGACCTTATTTCCATTACAACTCAGAGAAGGGAAGAGTATATTCATCTAAAGAAAGTAATGGTTTCTCCAGTAAAATAAGTTGAATAATTTCATAATTTAACAGTGGCATTATTTGAAATAGCAAATACTTGATAAAAGATTTATCTATAAAATGCACACTTAAACTATAAAAATATTATTAGTATTTTTGGACAATTAGCTATTGTTCTGCACAATTTCACTAATAAAAATTTCACTAGCAAAAATTAAAATGGCTATAAGTAGCTAAAAGGTGCAGACTGTGAAATCATTCCTCAATAGTGGTCACTTAAATGAACTGTTCTCTCAATGTAGATGGTAGGTTTACCCAACAGTTGCATTGCCCAATTATTTGCATACTAACCGTGTCTTGTGAACACTGCAGCATCCATCACAGCCTTTGTTTCATGATCCACATTGAGACTGTGCTTCCAACTGGACCACAGGAGTAATGGTAACTTTGAGATTACTTTGAGATTAACAACCAGATCTGAAAAAGGAATCACACACAGCTCTAGCTGCAAAAGGGACTGTAAACTCTATGAGATGGTACAATGCTTGAGGAAGATATGACATATCCCCAGCATAGAAGATACTAAATAAATGCCTATGGAATGAATGAATAAGCAAAAACAACATACACTTATATTGTGAAAGCTCGAATTTTATGCTCCTTCGTGTTCCCAATTAACTCAGAAGGAATACTTCATGGAATCATAGAAAATTATTTCCCCAGTGATAAAGAAAACTAGGTTAAACTAGAAGGCATACTATAAGTCATTTTGTAACTTTAATATATAGGTTAATGATTATTGACTGGAGTTTGAGATTAATAGGTCACACTTGCTGTAGCTGTAAAAATAAGTACTGTGTAAAATATGTAACATCTAAAATGTATTTAATAAAGGAATGTGTCTAATATAAATATTTTCAGGGATATTTTATTAAATAGATTTTTCTCACATCTTTCAATAAGGAGTCAGGCAAAAAACATACTATTCTATCTATCTATCTATCCACCTCACTCCTTTTCATTGCTGAATCCCAAATTTGCTCTGATTAAGTGGTAGCATTGATTCTATAGCTGGTTTCCTTTCTTGACTATTTGAGGATCTCCTATAGTTCACTCTTAAGAACTTTGCAAGATATTGCTTAAATTCTCCTTCAGTCTAGCCAGTTTTATTCTGACCTTCTATACCTTCTAGATATTTACATTGTCTTTTCATGAACCTACATTTAAGTTTCACAGGTGTCTTTTTTTTCTTGCAATAGCTTCATTGACTTTGCCTGTCAGTTATGCTATGAAAACTTGCAACAGACTTTATATACTTACTATACTCATACTTAAAAATTAAACTAATTATTTAACTAAGATTAAACATAAAATTTATTCTTTATCAAAAAATTAAAATAACGGAAAAAATAAAAATAAAATAGAAAAAAAATAGAACATGTGGAAAATACACCAAAAATATAAAAAATAAAAACATAATAAAAATGAAATTTATGCTCATCAAATGTACAGATTTCAGAAAGCTGGAAAGTAGAATAATATATCAGTTAGGTACAAAGGTAATTGTGGCATTTAATGACAAAAACCACAATTACCTTTGTAAGAACCTAATAATAAAACCAAAATTAAATATCACTATGAGAGATTGGATCTCAAACTCAAAAGGTGAATTTAAAGCCCTGTATTTATGTTCAAAAAATAATTACATAAGTACAGAATGAGAAGATAGGTAACATAGCTAAAATTCACTTGGAAAAAACATAAAAGTTTTAACTGTGAACTCACTAGGATCAATTTTAGGATGGGACAACTTGAAAACTAAATCCAGTCTAGCTGCATTGATAGAAGTCATATGAAAGTAAAATTCTACTGCATTCTAGTGCTTCTCAAGGTTTTCTCAAGAATATTTTCCATCTAAATACAACTTTTAAGAAAAAATCACCAGTGGTGTTTTCAACCTTAATGCTTCATCAATTTGACTCACTGAACTGTGTACTGAAACTATTGGAGCTACTTAGGAGTGAGATAAAGTGCTCCACTGAGAAAATCCAAAGAGTGGGAAGTCAAGAATGAGACAGCAAGTAGAAAATGTGAAATCATTGGGGTGAAAAGGAAGACTCCAACAAAAGGCAATAAAATAGCATTCACTCAAATACTGATGAAATGTTCTCCATTATCCATATGCCAGCAGCTGAATGACACCAACACCATGCCATTACCTAAGTAATTGCACACATTTGTAATTCACAAAGAACTAAATGGATATCTGAATTTATCTTATTTTCATCTGCCTTCTATTCGATTTGTCATTACAAGTATGTGAATTGTTACTGTTTGTGTAACTGCTCCTGATACATGAAACGTTAAGTAGTTAGCACCAAGAAGATCCTAACACATTTCAACATTACATCATGGCTGGTGGTGAAATGATATTACATTTACTTTTTTTTAGAAAGTTTGACTTATATAGTGTGCATTTCAGTGAATCTGTTATTAATGATATTTTCAAACATTATATAATTATCTATTTCAAGAATCATAACCACTTCCCAGAAAATGGTTCTCCTATTCATTGAAGAACATATGAAGTATATTCTGCATATGTTGATATGTACTTGAGAGATAGGAGAAAAAAAGTACTATTTCTGTATCACATCTATTTACTGATTTGAAATACTATTATTATTATTATTGCCCAAATGTTTATTTTGCAATAATTATAACCACACTAACATCTACCCAACAACTAAAAAATGAATTCTTAGTCTTCTGTAAACACAATAAGCATCACACCATTTTAATAATTAAACTGAATGCCTTCCCTTTACATTTCTCCTACTTCTCCAAGTCATCTCAGCCCCAGCCACTCTCTAAGTAAAAAGAGGAGAAAGAAATAGCAGGTATTTGGGCAAGTAGGTTTTTTTACACTAACTAACATTGTTTCCCTCATAAAAGCAAGCTACAGATAATTCTTTCCTGTATTCTTAATTTCTCAGCACCACTAGCAGGACTAGTTCAAAACCATGGTACAATATCAAATTCAAGTACGCTAATATCATAATAATGAGGATCCCTGTTAAAACATCACTGAACATTAGAATGTAATTTAATGGCTGAGTGGCTTGAAGAATTTAATCTCCTTCCTCAACATGGCACAAGAACTGCTGCTACTTTCAGCATAAAAGTCCAGCAGATGGTGGAAAGTCTAGTCTGATAAGTATAACAGGCTTCATCAAGTACAGAAGGATCTGTATGAATTAAATGTATTACACTTAAAGGTATTACATAAATAAAGTCACTATTTCCCTTCTTAGAAATGTCTTGTCCTGACTTTTCCAACTTTCCTTTTCTCCCAAAGGGAAAAATAAACAAAAATCCAACGAGCCGTGTTGGTTAAACATTCACATCATTCCTATTGCCATGAGTACACAGCTCAACACACACATGATTTTTAGGAATATATAAAGTAAGTCAAAAGGGAACAGACAAGAGAGATTGAGACTAACTTCCAGACATTTAATATAATTATTGGATCAATCCAGACAATAATAAAACTAATTTGATTCTTCACTGAATGATCTGAAGAAATTTCTCTTTGATATCATAATCTCTAAAGGGAAGAAATAATGAGAAATAGGTCAGTGAAATTTAACACTGGATATCACAAGAATGTTATGGATTATACCTTCCACCAAAACATACAGAGCCTTTTTATGAGTATCCATGAGAAAAACTTCACTATGATTTTAGTACCAGAAACATTTCTCATTTGAAACTTATGGACATCATGATTATTTCAACTGCTTATGTTTCTCTGTTTGTTCTAGCTACTGAAAGGTCCAAGCCAAAGTTTTAATCCCCTTCTTACAAATGAAAATGACTTTCTGTGATGCTTCTGTCCCTGAATCTTTCATTTGGCATTAGATTATCTTACTATTTCTTTCCCTATACCTCAGGTATGTCCAAAAGTCAACTCCGGTTCTCTAATTCTCTTTTTAAATGTATGGATCAAAGTTTAGGTCTTACTCCATTTTGTGTTGCTATAAAGGAATACCTGACGCTAGGTGATTTATGAAAAACAAAAAAAGCATTGTTTGTTTGGCTCATGATTCTGATGCCTAGAAAGTTCAAGAGTGGGCATTGGCATCTGGTGAGTGCCTCAGGCGTCTTCCACTCATGGCAGAAGCCTAAAGGAAGCCGGCATGTACAGATATCACATCACAAGAAATGTGGAATCCGCCCCATCACCAAAACATACGGTTTGGAGGGGATAAACATCCAAACCATAGCAGTATGTATAAACAAGTAAATTGTATATTGGGATTCTTATTGTTTTTTTAAAAGATAATCAGTATAATCCTTTAAAAGAAACAAGCTTTTGGCCGGGCGCGGTGGCTCACGACTCTAATCCCAGCACTTTGGGAGGCCGAGGCGGGCCGATCACGAGGTCAGGAAATCGAGACCATCCTGGCTAATACAGTGAAAACCCGTCTCTACTAAAAATGCAAAAAAAAAAAAAAAAAAAAAAAAATCAGCTGGGCGTGGTGGCGGGCACCTGTAGTCCCAGCTACTCGGGAGGCTGGGGCAGGAGAATGGCTTGAACCCGGGAGGTGGAGCTTGCTGTGAGCCGAGATCGCGCCACTGCACTCCAGCCTGGGCGACAGAGCAAGACTCCATCTCAAAAAAAAAAAAAAGATACAAGCTTTTCCCAGTTCTACTTTCAGTGGAACGTCCTTTGGCTTTATGCGCAAAATTCATCAAGCAATACGAAAGAAAGTATCTTCCAAGACAATTTTATAGACAATGAGCAGCCAGTTTTAAATGATTATTTCCTGTTTCAATCTTTGATTAACAGTTGAATTCTTTGATTTCAGAATATTCCCCTTAATTGAATTTTCTTCTACCATACTAATCTACAGATTCCCAGTCTTCCCTCTTGTTCCTTAACTGGTAATTTTGGTGCGCTCAGCCCTTGGTCCATTCTCTTCTCTGTGTACTGTCTCTTCCTTGGATCACATCCAGTCTCATAGTTTTAGGTACCATCTATATGCTGGCCAGTCCCAAATTTGTATTGCCAGCCTAGACTACTCTCCCGATTTCAAGATTCATACATCCGACAGCTCAACATTGCCCCCTGAATGTCTAATAAACATTCCAAAGTCAAATTTCTAAAATCAGACTCATGATCTCATGATTTTCCTCCCAAACATGTTCCACTTATAGTCTTCCCTGTCTCATTTGATGGCAACACTATCCTTCCAGTTGTTCAGGCCAAAGCTCTGGAATTATCTTTGACTTTTTCTTTCCCGCCCTGTATCAAATCCATTCGATATTCTCTTGGATCTAGCTTTAAAATATTTCCAGAATCCAAAAGATTCTCACCACTTTTCACTGCTACAAAGCCACCAACCTCTCTTACTTAAGGTTTACAGCACTAGGTCTTCTCATTTCTTTTTACATATATTTATTATACTTTAAGTTCTAGGGTACATGTGCACAATGTGCAGCTTTGTTACATGTGTATACCATGGTATCTCCACACTCTATTTTTCACATGGAAGCCAGACTGAGCCTTTTAAATCGTCAGTTAAATCATGGCACTTCTCAACCCAAAACCATATAATGATTCTTCATTCACTTGCAGTAAATCCAAAGTCCTTACAAGGTCCCACAAGACTCTACAACTACTGGCCCCTCCATTACTTCCCCGACTTCATCTCCACTTTCACCTCCCCAACGCTGCTCAGCCACACTGGCCTCCTTGTTGTGAGAACACACCGGGGCACTCTACTTGCCTTAAGGCCTGAGTTCTAAGCTGTTCTCTCTGACTGGAAAGCTCTTCTCCCAAATATCCTTTGGCAACATCCTCACCTGTTTCGAAATTTGTTAATAATTGTATCTGTTCAATGACTACTAATTCAATACTACATCCTTCTAAGCTCTTTCCCCACAATTTTCCAGCCCTCCTAATCCCCCTTACACTTCTAAAAATTTTTTGTATATCACTTATCACCTTCTAACATAAAATATAAATCACTCATGTATTATGTTTATTGCTTTTTGTCTTTATCCCCTTGCTAGCATGGGATACCCAGAAAGATAAGGATCTTTGTATGGGGCTCTGATATGCTCTGGACACATAGAACAGAGCCAGGAACATAGTAGGATGGTAGGTGCTGATTATTTCTTGAATGAATTCATACAGGCTCATAATTCAATTGAAGGAAGATATTCCTGGGAGAACCAAAGTAACAAAATATAGTAATAAAATTGAGAAATTCTGGTTCCTGCCCTTTATCAAGTGAGTTTCCTGGATATCATTAACAAAAATAAGAAACATCAGTTCTACAGAACTTGTTTAATAAAAATACATTAAGCACAAATTTTCTGAGAAGTTTACTTGTTTTGTTTTGTTTGTTTTGTTTTTGTTATTGTCTTAAGTGACCATATATATATATATATATATATATATATATATATATATATCTCCTTTAAGTTCTGGGATACATGTGCAGAATGTACAGATTTGTTGCACAGGTATACACATGCCATGGTGGTTTGCTGTACCCATCAACCCGTCATCTACATTAGGTATTTGTCCTAATGCTATCCCACCCCTAGCCTCCCACCCTCCGACAGTCCCCACTGTGTGATGTTCCTCTCCCTGTGTCCATGTGTTTTCATTGTTCAACTCTCACTTATGAGTGGGAACATGCAGTGTTTGGTTTTCTGTTCCTGTGTTTGCTTGCCGAGAATGATGGAGAAATAGGAACGCTTTCACACTGTTGGTGGGAGTGTAAATTAGTTCAACCATTGTGCAAGACAGTGTGGCGATTCCTCAAGGATCTAGAATCACAAATACCATTCGACCCAGCAATCCCATTACTGGGGATATAACCAAAGGATTATAAATCATTCTACTACAAAGACACACGTACACGTATGTTTATTGCAGCACTTTTCACAATAGCAAAGACTTGAAACCAACTCAAATGTCCATCAATGATAGAATGAATAAAGAAAATGTGACACATATACACCATGGAATACTTTGCAGACATAAAAAGATGAGTTCATATCCTTTGCAGGGACATGGATGAAGAGAAGTTTACTTCTAATACTCTGAGAACATGCTTTTCAACATAGAAACATCAGCTGTTTTTCAACGAAGTATGAGCCCCTAAGTTTCTAACTGGCAATGTCCTTCTCCATCTGCAGTTTGAAGTATTTGATTGGTATCAACTAAAGCAAAGCAACATTGGAACAGGCACTAGTGCATCATGATGAAGAAATGTCAGTTAAGAGTGGTGTTATAAGGAAATATTCAGCTGAGACAGCCTTGAGCACGGTTGAGACATAGGGGAGATCCTCGGCACAAGAGAACACAGAAGGCAGTGTTTTCAAGCATTCAGTCTTGAATATTGCTTCAAGACTTTTTGCGTCAGGAAAAGAGGTGCTTCAGACTAGTCTTTTTAAAAACTTTTCAACCTCAAAAAGAGAAGTAAAGTTTGTTACTGAAGAACTATTAACATGGATGTTTACATAAACATAAGCACATTTAAACAAGAATGAATAGATCAAAATCACTTTGCAAGAAGCTAAATTTACAAAGAACACATACTCTATACACTCAAGCTTTGCTTTTTTGTTTATTTGATCTACTTTCTGTATTTGGCAGAAGAAACAGGAGGCTGGAGGCTGGGACAGATTTTATTAGATGGAAGGAGCAGAGGTCAGGAAATTATACTCCTCAGTTCACAGAGAATATTGACATCTTTAATCCTATTTTTTTTACACCATTCCTCCTTCTCAATTCCTGTTTTCCTCCCCCACTCCCATAGTCAACCATTTTCATATATTCAACATATATCATTTTCTTGATATGTTCTTATAAAATATATGGGCTTGGTTGGTTTTCATGTATTTTATTTTGTACAAATAGGGTTGTGTTATATATTTCAATTTGTTTCTTTTTTCTCAGAATTTTATTTTCAAATATGCTACGGTCTGAATGTTTGCATCCTCCCAAAATTAATACAATGTAACTAATCCCCGTGTGACAGTATTGAGGGATGTGGCTTTGGAGAAGTGATTAGATGAGATAAGTGTCATGATAAAAAAGACCCCAGAAACTAATTAGCCATCTCCACCGTGGGAGGATGCAGTGAAAAGGCACCATTTATGATGAGTAGGCTCTCAGCAGACACTGCATTTGCTGGCACCTTTTATTGGATCCCCTAGCCTCCAGAACGGGAAGAAATAAATTTCTGTTCTATATTAGCCATCCTATTTATAGCGTTTTGTTATAGAAGCCCAAAAGGACTAAGACCAAATATCTACCCATATTTCCATGTATATATCTAGTCCACTCCTGCTAACTGCTGCATAATACTCCAAGATGGACACATGCTTTACTGTTCATCCCTCTGTAATAGACACCCATTTTGTCTCCAACTATCTGTAGTTAAACACTGCAGTGAACGTACTCATACTTGTACCCCTGTGGAGCTCTGGAGCTATGTGACTTTGAGATATATATATATATATATATATATATATATATATATACACACACACACATATATACACATATATATACACACACACATATATACACATATATACACACATATATATACACATATATACACATATATATACACATATATATACACATATATATGTACACATATATACACACATGTATATACGTATATGTGTACATATATACACACACATATATGTATGTGTATATATACACATATATGTATATATATACACACACAGACATGTATATATGTGTATATATACACACATAGATATATGTATATATGTGTATATACACACACATATATGTGTATATACACACATATATGTGTATATACACACACATATATGTGTATATACACACACATATATGTGTATATACACACACATATATGTGTATATACACACACATATATGTGTATATACACACACATGTATATATGTGTATATACACATATATGTATATATGTGTATATACACATATATGTATATATGTGTATATACACACATATGTGTATATACACACATATATATGTATATACACACATATGTGTATATACACACACATATATGTGTATATACACACACGTATATATGTGTATATACACACGTATACATGTGTATATAGACACACACGTATACATGTGCATATAGACACACACGTATACATGTGCATATAGACACACACGTATACATGTGCATATAGACACACATACATGTGCATATACACACACATATATGTGCATATATACACACATATACGTATATACGTGCATATATACACACATATATACGTATATACGTGCATATATACACACACATATATACGTATATACTTGCATATATACACACATATACGTATATACGTGCATATATACACACACATATACGTATATACGTGCATATATACACACACATATACGTATATACGTGCATATATACACACACATATACGTATATACGTGCATATATACACACACATATACGTATATACGTGCATATATACACACACATATGTATATACGTGCATATACACACATATATGTATATACGTGCATATACACACATATATGTATATACGTGCATATACACACACATATATGTATATACGTGCATATACACACACACGTATATACGTGCATATACACACACATATGTATATACGTGCATATACACACACACATATGTATATACGTGCATATACACACACACATATGTATATACGTGCATATACACACACATATGTATATACGTGCATATACACACACATATGTATATATGTGCATATATACACACATATGTATATATGTGCATATATACACACAGGTATATATGTGCATATATACACACAGGTATATATGTGCATATATACACACATATGTATATATGTGCATATATACACACACGTATATATGTGCATATATACACACACGTATATATGTGCATATATACACACACGTATATATGTGCATATATACACACACGTATATATGTGCATATACACACACACGTATATATGTGCATATACACACACGTATATATGTGCATATACACACACATATGTATATATGTGCATATACACACACATATGCGTATATATGTGCATATACACACACATATGCGTATATATGTGCATATACACACATATACGTATATATATGCATATATACACACACATATACGTATATATGTGCATATATACACACACATATATATGTATAGTCTGACTTTTAATTATGTGTTTATGATTTATACATTGGATTATTTGCTTCCCCTTTTGTTGAATTATTTACCTTTCTTTGATGGGAACAAAACTATTAAGGCATTTCCCTAAAGGCTCTTCTTATACCTTTTTAAGACACAAGTTTTCAACATTATAACTTTGCTAGAAACATACTAACTTAGCCATCAACATCACCTCACTGTGGATGGCAGCAAAGATGGATGAGGGAATCTGGTCTGTAAAGGAATGTATCCAATGCTTTAGGCTGGGCTGCAAACCACAAGCTTGAGAACTTCATGGCCACCTAAGCCAAGCAAATATCCTCATCCTTCAAATATATATATGTATATATATTCAATATACTCCTACACCAAACAAGAACAAGATGAAATAGGTCTATTTAAGAACTTTCTGAATACTCTTCTTATATTAGAATGTGATTATGTATAGCAAAAAAACACTCTGAAATATATGCTCAGTCTCTAAAATCAGAAAAAAAAAATCAGAGGGGAAAACATGTTGTATATACTTCAATCAGGGCAGTTCCTTTAATACCAGTATCCAGGTCAATCCCATAAGAACAATGACAAGCCCCATATGAGACCTTGGCTAGGGTCCCCCTCCTGCCCTGGAATGTCCTTGGTAGTCTCCTCACCATTGCATCCACTCATCCAAATCTGACATTCAGGACCTAACCCATCTCCATGGAAAATTATTTCATTCTGCAGATTGCCATCCTTCAGCCATTTACATAGGTCTATTAACGGTTTTTAGTTTTATTTCCTTTCGTTATATTTAGCTTATGATCTTTTTTTTTTTTTTGCTTTTATGAGATACATGGCCCTGAAAGACCATATATATCTTATAAATATGTCCAAATAGATATATGGCCTACCATCAGTAATCCTTAAAAGCTTGTCCTTTATATTAAAGTACTAATGGACAGTTAGCGAAAGTATTAGGGTATACATGTTATAGCCCAATAGAAGTGTATAAATGTTAAAGTTTGTTCCTAGGGTCACTAATTTTGCCAGCTATAATTTTCATTAGTCTAGACCTGTTGACATTGGCAGTGAATTTGACAATCTGAATTTCTTTGTGCACATTATGGAACACATTAATTCCCTAATATCATCAGCTTCATAAAGTGGTACAATACGTTGTCTGCCCAACTATTAAGAAGTTCTCTCTACCCTCAATAAGCTTGCATCTAGAAAGAATAATGCAATATAGATATTCCTCAGAAATATATTGAATAATTTATTCCATATATGCGTGTATCCGGGAAAAAAATAACAGAAAATGTTACATGCCACAGGAATGCTATATTTAGAGAATTTTTTCAGAAAAAATATTTTGATTATCCTAATATATTTAATAAGAAAGCATGCAATGATAATTCAAGGCATATTTGTATTTTTAAAACCTGAATATTACTGTGTGCCAAGTGATACTTGAAGAAATTAAAAACAACTTAATCCTCAGAATAATCCCATGACATAGGTAAATCTTCCCGTTTTGTGTTTGAGAAAGCTGAGATATAACCCCCTCAAAGTCTCAAAACTAGTTAGTAGCTGAGCAAGGATAGAAACCCAGACAGTCTGGCTCCAAAGTCTATGCTTTCAGCAACTATGCAATGTTGTCAGTCTATCTGAGACTTTATTTTTAAAATAAAAAATGGGAGGCTGAGGCAGGAGGATCATTTGAGGCCTGGAGTTCGAGACCAGCCTGGGCAACATAGCGGGATCCCTGTCTACAAAAGTTACAAAAATTGTTAGGATGTAGTGGCACTCACCTGTAGTCTCCCAGCTACCTGGGAGGCAGAAATGGGAGGATTGCTTAAGTCCAGGAGTTCAAGATTATAGTGAGCTATGACTGTGCCAGGATTTCAAGGTTACAGTGAGCTATGACTGTGCACTCCAGCCTGGGTGACACGGCAAGACCCTGTCTCTAAATAAATAAATAAACAAAAATAAAATATGCAGTGTAACCCAATGTTTAATACAGCCTTTTCACAAAATGTAATAAATGCACGTTTCTGACTATGCTGTGGGGATTTTTTAAGTTTTGAGACTCACATAGAAAATTGTACTGAGTTTTCTACAAGTGAAAAGTGGTTTTGAGGATTTAACAGCCCAGCCCTCTTAAAGTGCAAGAATTCTCTTAATTTCCCTCAACATGAGAGAATTCATGCATTAAAGGTAAACCAATTTCAGCTTGCATGATTAGGCAAATGCTACCAAAAATTCCTCTGAGCCTTGTTTTTTTCCTCTTATACTTCCAGTTTATACACTGAGCATCTGCAAAATAATTTTACCCAAGAAGATACATTTCACCTGATGATACCAAACTGAGATATTCTAAGAGAGGTTAATGCTTTAAAACCAGAGGAGGAGCAATACATTTAATCCCAAATAGAGCAGAAAATAATTATTTAAAGCCATCCCTATCAAACTAGCAAAACCATTATGTTACCTAATTAATCATATCTTCGCATTTGCACACACTATGTGAAATAGTCAGAAACCATTTACTGTTTCCATCCATATTCCTTTTTGCTTTCAACAATTTATTTTTTCGTTTCTGAAATACAAGTCAAAATACATTTTTGTTACATAACATGCCCTAAAATAATTTTAAAAAAACAGCCCGTGTATCCACGTATTTTTTTGATGAGCTCTTTCCTCCATTCACACTCTTCGTCTATGCTCTTTGGCTAGAAAATACTATTTGTTATACCCAGCAGTCACCTCCACCCTATCCCAATCTTCCTTGTTAACAGATCTCCAATTTTGTTGAGATGCCAACATGCTCAGGGAAGGGGCCCACCTCCAAGGAATTATTCGTGATTGTTCTCAACCTGTCACAAGCCTGCCCTCCCCTTCCGTGGACCGTTGTTGAAGCATACTTTGGTAGGAGGCTTGGTATCTCATTCTGGGCAGTGACATGTAATGAGAAATCTGCTAGGACCTTCCAGGACAGAATTTCTTCCCTGGTAGAAAAGAAAAATACAGAAACCTGATACCACTGAGCATCAAATCAGTTCTGAAACTGCCTGTCTCTGAACTTATATGAAATTGTAAGCCTTTATTACCAAAGTTGCATTTAGTATGCTATTATATTACTTGTAGCCAAAAGGATCCTAATTTATATCTGATTTGGCTTGTTCTCCAATCCCTAAGGCCATTATCATAAGTATGTCCATGCTACTACATCCTAACAGCTACATTAGCAGAATTTCTCCTCATAGATACCTGATTCTCTTTGCTTTCTTTTACATGCAAACTGCATTTATTTGTGTGAAATATAATAATTAGAAGATAAAATAAATGTTGGAAAATTTTTGATGTCCAAAATGTGATGATGACCACTATCGTCAATTAAGATTGATTAAACTGTTCCTGATAACAAGAAATCTAGCAAATACCCTGATTATGCACATTGAAGCTGTGGAAGAATTCAGAAATAAGATCATATTTTTTGTCAAGCACTTGCACGAATCCCTGTGAGCACACAATTTTCCTTGCCTGAATTCTGAAGCATACTTACCACCTGCAGATACTGAGAAAACTGACAAATAGTTTCTGACAAATAGGCAACTATTCTATAGCAAAATGACACTGGGAAACATCCACTGTGCCAAGTAGCATTTTATATTGAAGAAAATACACTAAATTTTCACATTGTAGGTCAAGTTTATATACTTCATGATATCGCTTTTGGGGAAAAGCTTTCCTCTTCCCTCTTTTATAATACCCTTGTAACAACCTCAATCAGAAAACCATGGGAAAACTAAACCATATGCAGTGACAATCTTAAATTAGAAAATTGTTCCCTAGCTAGACCTCTTACTGGGTTTGCTATGACTACGCACTTCAATTTGAAGAGACAGCAATGGTCAAAGAAGACGGGCAGGATGCTATAATGAGCCCACGTTTCAGAAACAAAATGTCAGGAAGGAGAATACGAGGTCATTCAAACATGAAATAAGTATAGTTAGAATGTATATCAGAAAGGAAATGATGCATAACAGAATAGCAGGATAACATAGTTTGGATTCCAAAGAGATGAAAATGTTGGCTAAAATCCATAAAGCATAATTTATAAAATAAACAATATCTGAAGAAAGATGGGTTGCTAAAGGAGAAAACCACTTTGCAGTCAAAACACTCTTATTGGACGGCAGTAACCAGGCAGGGGTGAGCAGAGATTCAAAAGAGAATTTGACTGGGGCAAACACTTCACTGGACTCAATCCCCACTCTATCACTTTGGTATACAACTTCAGAAATTTAAAATACAGTACTCCAACAGAGACTTAATAAGAACTGAAATACTAAGATTGAGCCCTCAGGCTTAGACAACATTTATGTTACTGTCGCGGTAAGCCCCTCTCATAGATCCAGAAACATTAAACATTCATTAAAATCTTTCTATCAATTGCCTACATCTTCAAAGGGGATTTCATTTTTATTTTGAACAGATGGCGAGCCCATTGCAGGGCGTTCTTTATGACCAGAGCATAAACACTGTCTGATTAAATCGTTCACAAACCAATTAAAAACAGCATTTGCTTTAGTAAGTCATATCTGCAATGAGAGAGGGAACATGAGCAAACCTAGTCAATTAACTATCCGATCCCCTGAGGAAAATTTGACATAGGACGTGGGTTAATAGAAGAAATCAGGTACCTCCATGTAGCTATTTATAGCCATATAAGCTCTCAGTTAAAAGTGCAATTGGCCAGAAATGTTGGAAGTCCTTTCTCATACATGTATTGGAATTTTCCAATGATAAAGTCTTCAACACACATACACATACAAAGAAAACCCACTAATTTAGAAAATTTGATCCTATTACAGAAAGAAAAAATGATAAGTCAGTGTAGATATTACTCTCGCACAAGGCTAAGTTCCACTTAACTTGTAGCCAAAATATTGAAAACTTTCTCTCTAGTAAACAATAAAACACATGACTACCTTACATTACAGTCAG
Organism: Homo sapiens; assembly: GCF_000001405.40. Taxonomy (NCBI): domain Eukaryota; kingdom Metazoa; phylum Chordata; class Mammalia; order Primates; family Hominidae; genus Homo; species Homo sapiens. The sequence goes on from NC_000008.11 coordinate 16,713,437, forward strand.
ACCTCACCCAATATCATTGAGAAGTTCCTGGAAACTATGACTTTAAGGAAAATGACATATAATGAAGCTAATTTTGCCATATACTGATATAAACAAGAGTGAAGTTCCTAAGGCATATTTCTGGTCACAAAAACATCACCAAACTTCTAAATGAAGATCCAAAACACTTGTAATATTAAACATTGAAATAAATGTGAGCTATACATGCATTTAAGAAAGATTAATTGAAACGAGTAAGATAATTATTAACCCAATTTTTGGTGGCTCTACGAGTGATAGCAGTCATAGTGGTGGTGGGCAAAATCAAGGAATAAAATGTTTGTGAAGTGAAAATTGTCAGGAGCACCTCCTTCCACTGTGCAGCTCAAAAACAAACAATCACAACTGGGGCAGCTTGCTGAGCACTTTGCACGGCATCGTTTATTCTTATGCACTTGTGTGACTATCAGCTACTCGTAAAATTTTTATTTGACAATGTTTTTCAGGGCGTATGTTCATTCATTTTCCAGCCTGCTTATTCCAGTTCAGGGTCTCGGATGGCTGCAGCCTGTTCTGCAGTTCAGGACACAAGTCAAGAACCAGCCCTGTCCAGGACTTCATCCCATGGCAGGGCCACTCACACACTTATACTCTGGCAGATGGGGACAACTTAGACAGCTGATTCACCTAATGGCACAGCTTTGGGATATGGGAGAAAACCTAGGCAGGCATGGGGAGAAAGTGCCATCTCCACACAGGTGGTGGCCCCACCGGGAAGCAATTTTTTTTCTCATCAACCTTGTAAAGAAAAGACACGACATGGCTGGGCATGGTGGCTCACGCCTGTAATCCCCGCACTTTGGGAGGTCAAGGCTGGTGGATCACGAGGTCAAGAGATCGAGACCATCCTGGCCAACATGATGAAACCCTGTCTCTACTAAAAATACAAAAATTAGCTGGGCGTGGTGGCACACACCTGTAGTCCCAGCTACTTGGGAGGCTGAGGCAGGAGAATCACTTGAACACAGGAGGCAGAGGTTGCAATGAGCCGAGATTGCACCACTGCACTCCAGCCTGGCAATAGAGCAAAACTCTGTCTCAAAAAATAAAAAAGAAAAGAAAAGAAAACACACGACGTTATTTGAGGTCCTGCTATACATAATTTATTCTTCATAACAACTTATTAGATAGGTACTATTATACCATTTTACAGATCAAAAAACTGTGCCTTCAGAAAAATAAATATTTTTGTCAGTGGGATGGTTCAGGTTCTTGACTTCGGCACACAAAAGAATTTGAGAATGAGTTTAAAGCAAGGGTAGGCAAAGAAGTTTATTGCAAAGTGAAAGTACACTCTTGAGAGGCACAGGGAGCTGCTCAGAGGGAGAGACAGCAGCTAGTGCCTTCAGGGGAATTCCCTTTATAGGAGCTGTTCATTCACATTCATAAAATACCAATGAGGTCAAGTATGCAAAAGAAGACCTGTAGTTGGTGCATGTACTCAGCGCCTACATGCTCTCACATGCATTGCATGTATCATTAGCATACAAAATCTCCACCGAGGGGTGTGCATTTTTACTATTAAAATGAGGAAAAGGTCATATAAGCTAAACCTTGAGCCTAGCTGCACATGTGGGACCCTGGAGAAGTTCTGAGCCTCTCTCTGCAAGGCAAGAATTTGTAGCTAATAGCTTCCTGGGCTTTTGGTGCTGATTGGCTGGAGAATGAGAAAGCTATATCAAGAATAAGGACTTGGATGGGCATGGTGGCTCATGCTGCAATCCTAGCAGTTGGGGAGGCCAAGGCAGGAGAATTGCTTAAGCCCAGCAGTTTGAGACTAGCCTGGGCAACATGGCAAGAAATACAAAAATTAGCCAGGCATGGTGGTGCATGCTTGTAGTCCCAGCTACTCAGGAGGCTGAGGCCAGAGGATAGCTTGAACTTGGTAGATAGAGGCTGCAGTGAGCTATGATCACACGACTGCACTCCAGCCTGGGCCACACAGTGGGACCCTGTCTCAAAAACAAACCAACCAACCAACAAACAAAACAACAACAAAAAGAAGAAGGGACTTTTGTTCTCTTTCCCGAGCCATGCGGGGTATTAGGAACTTGGAACCATCTGGCAATCCACTGGTCCACAGGGCTTCACAAAAGGGGACAAGTCAGTATGGCCTCCTAGCCTTACTTATTCTGCCTCAATGTTCTCACTCATATGTGAGAGCTAAAAAGTAACTGAACTCAGAGAAGACAATTGTTATTATTAGAGGTTGGGAAGAGGGGAGGGGCAAACAGGGAGAAGTTGGTTAATGGATCAAAAAGCACAGCTAGATAGGAGGAATAAGTTCTAGTGTTCTGTAACATTGTTGGATGAATATGGTTACCAATTAACTGTATAATTTCAAAAAGCTAGAAGAGAGGATTTTATTCTGCTTTTTCATTTTGTTTTGCTTTTTATTTCTTCGAAAAAAATAAATGGGATACATGTGCAGAACGTGCAGGTTAGTTACATAGGTACACGTGTGCCATGGTGGTTTGCTGCACCTATTGACCCATCCTCTCAGTTCCCTTCCCTCACCCCCCACCTCCCAACAGGCCCTGGTGTGTGCTGTTCCCCTCGAAGAGAGGATTTTGAATGTTTACAACAAAAACAAATTATACATGTGGAGATGAATATGCTAATTACCCTGATTTGATCATTACACATCATATACATATATCAAAATATCACTCTATTTCCCATAAATATGTACAGTTATTACATGCCAACTGAAAATTTTTTTTTTAATTTAAACTGTGCCTTCATGAAGTTAAACAACTTTCTCAATATCACATAGCTAAATACATGGAAGAGCAAAAACTTGGCATTGTACCCATAAGTTTTGATACCGGAAGATGTGCTTGAAACTACTACCTGCTATTTCCTCTGTAAGACAGAACAGTTTTTCTAAACTCTTTTAGAGAAAACAAAATTAAAAGCTAAAACTTCCAATCTAGCAGTTGCTAGAACTAATTATTTTCAGGCATTGCATATAAACAATTGAAGTACTCATCACAAATCATTCTCATTTCTTCATTAAAGCAAAATGAGGACATCTGTGTAGTCCAAATTACTATACGTACTTAAATAAAATGACTTTATAAATATTCTATAAGTCAGATTAGTTAAAAGGATAGATTTTAAATATTCATATTTTAGGCTTTTCATGCCATACTACAAAATACGAACTGGAAATAATACAAATGTTATATTAAAATGTAAATGAAAATCTAATATATCTGGAATTCATCATCAAAAGGGCATGTATTATTGGTAACCTAACTGTGCCTGATCTTAGGTGGCTGACTAAGCATCACAAACATGGAATAGTACTAAGTACCAAAAAAGTCACTGTTTCGGTGTGAAAGGAAATTAAATCTTGGGACCCCAAACTCATTAAGCCAAAGGTAAAAGTTAAGATGGAAACTGGGTCACACACACCTGCCTCCTGACAGAGCAGGAGCATCACCACCTTAGACAAACACTGCCATTTAAAAGTTTCCCTTGATCAAAAACTGCCTAAATCCAAAGGGCATCAGCCCCAATGGCTAAGGTCACCATGACCATAAACCACAAATGACATCTCCGATCAGAAACATTCCAACCCTAAGATAAACCCCTCCCCAACCAGAGATATGCCAGCCCTGCGATAACTTCCCTCCAGCCAGAGAGATGTCAGCCCCAAGATAACCTCCACTCCAACAAGAGACATTCCAATCCTGCAATAAACTTCTCCTCCACACAGAAACATTCCAAGCCTGTGATAAGTTCTCTCGCCCTGAACCTTTAAATACTCTTACTCTGTAAGACAGAGCGCTCCTGATCAAAATTGGCCAGAAGCCCCTCTCAGGTTTATTCACCAAAATAAACCTGTCTTTGACTGTTGAGCTGCTTTTTGTCTTTCTTTCCTCTTTCTTTAACTCTTACACCTCCCCTTTTGGTTCCTAAATAAGATATCTACGAGATGAAAAGTTACACACCTTCCCCATATTTTTCCCAGAAAGAAATTCCTGGTGAGCTCCAAGATCTTTACCCTAAAATACTCCTGTTGAAATTTCACCATGGAAATGTAAGTGGATAGCTTATCTTTACAGATGCAGCCACACCCCCTGCCCACCTGACGCAAATGCATATCTGATGGTTCCCCCCGTCCCATTATCTCTATGTTATCTTACGTAAAAATACAGATACCCTGCATCTTTCCTTGGCCCCAATTGTCTATGTCATCTTATGTAAAAAAACGCAGATTCACTGAGCCCGACAAAGGCATGAGTGACTATTTTCCCTACTCCCCTTCCAAATGAAAACTGTGTACATCTCAAAATCCTGCCCTTTCCCCTTTAAATTTGGAGCCCTCAAAATCATCTTCAGAGGGAAGCATAGACCTGGTTCCTGGCAGCATGTCCTTAACTTTGGCAAATAAACCTCCTAAAATGATTGAGACTTGTCTCGTCATTGTTCTCAATTGACTCGGGAAAGACAGAAATATTCAAGAAAACATTCTTATGATGTGATTCATACTGGGAAACAATGCATGTGGAATTATATACTTTCTTAAGAAATTGAGCAATTATAATTGTTTCAGCTTAGGCCCAAAAGTCCAAGACTTTTAGGGTATTTTTTTTTTAATGTTTGAATGGTCAAATATTACACATTTTCTCTAGTAAGCTTGATTAATCTCTGGCAGATTAAGGTATCACACAAAATTTCATCTTTTTTTTTTTTTTTTTTTTTTTGAGACAGGGTCTCATTTAGTCACCCAGGCTGGAGTGCAGTGGCATGATCATGGCTCACTGCAGCCTCAACCTCCTGGCCTCAAGCCATTCTGCCACCTCAGTCCCTCAAGTAGCTGGAATCACAAGCTTGTGCCACCACACCCAGCTAATTTTTTTATTTTTTGTAGAGATGAGGTCTCACTATGTTGTCCAAGCTGGTATTGAACTCCTACACTCAAGAGATCCTCCTGCCTCAGCTTCCCAAAGTGCTGAGATTACAGGCCTAAGCCACTATGCCTGGCCCAAAGTTTCATCTTTATGTGCAGCTGTAACTGGCACATTTATTTACTACTTTAAACATACTTAATGTTTATTCTGGTTAGGGGGATGATGACTACAAATTCATGAAGTTTATGATATTTTGCTAAAATTGTCTCACTATGGTGCATCTGAGAAAATGTCCTACCATATTAACTAAAAAGGCTACGTTTATATGCTATTACTGATATATACTAGATAGTAGCAAAGAACTTTCAATCAAATTAAGGTTGAATTTAACACAATCTACTATTTCACAATCATGTCAAAGAAGACTTAGTTTGGACCCAGCCCTCTCACAGATTTCCTGCAGTGGCAGTTAACTAAACTAGGCAAATAAATTACTTAATTTAATTAAATCACTACTGGGTCACTGTCACGTTCATCACAGCTAAAAGAAAATAATTCAAAATGCAAAAAGAAATTGCATTTTTAAAAATGTGAGATGAATCCTAGCAATACAATGTTAAATGAGAGACAACAAGTCCAAACATTACACACAGCAAAATGCCTTTTAAAAAAGGTAAAAACAACAAAGAAGTACATATTTCTTAAGGAATGCATACAAATGCAATAAAACCATATTAAAGGGGAAGAAAGAAATGGTGATCACAGAAATCATTTGGGAAGAAGTAGAGATACCAGATGGTTGTGGGGGACCATATGCTTAGTTTGGGGCCTGTGTTCGTAGTGCTTATAATATTATTTTAAATAAAAATAAATAAATGTATGAATGAATAAAAGCAGGGAGCCATGCATAGAAAATGAGCCATGCATAGAAAATGAGCCATGCATTGTCTCATGTAATAATGATTACAATTTTTCCAATTCTGTGCATTTGAGGTTCTTTAAAATCATATATGAATTTACCACCCCATTTAAATCCTGGAGGGCAGCTAGAAAGACCCAGGTTAGTCTCCTGCCTCCAATGTTGACTTCTCCATTTCACTTACATATTTCTAATACATCCTCTCAAAATTTCTTCATTTAAAAAAGACCTGGTCAAGAGGCCCGATGATGCAAATGGGATTTTCCTTCTCCATCCTCTCATTAAACTGTTAGAGTAGGCAGCTAGTCAGACATAAGCAGAGCAGCAGAGGGCTCCCCCCACAACTCAGACACAGAAGGAATGTCAGGCAACCATCAGGTGATGGTCAGAAGGTTGTTAACTGTCTCTTTAAAATAATAATTGGTCACATTCAGTGCCAGGGAAAGGCAGTTTCCCAATAAACAGAAATACCTGAAACTGACAATCAGCAGCTTCCCAAAAAGATCTTAAAAGTTGGGTAAGTGGGCTCAAGCATGCCCATCGATGTGGTTTGGCTGTGTCCCCACCCAAACCTCATTTTGCCTTGTAGCTCCCATAATCTCCACATGTCGTGGGAGGGACCCAGTAATAGGTAATTGAATCATGGCGGTGGGTTTTCACATGCTGTTCATGATAGTGAATAAGTCTCACGAGAACTGATGGATTTACAAAGGGCAGTTCCCCTGCACACACTCTCTTGCCTGCCACCATGTAAGAGGTGGCTTTGTTCATCCTTCGCCTTCTGTCATGATTGTGAGGACTCTCCAGACCTACGGAACTGTGCAACAATTAAACCTCTTTTCTTTATAAATTACCCAATCTCAGGTATGTCCTTACAGCAGTGTGAGAACGGACTAATACCAACATTAAGAGGCAAAATGGTGCAGTTTAACTGGTATATGACCTTCTAGGGACATTTGACTGGTAAGGGAAAAACGCCTCAAGTAAGCATGCATACAACTCCAGTCAACGCTGTGCATGCAGCCCCTCCCAAGTGCTAGCAGGCCACTGGGTATGTGAACAACCCACTCCAAGGATAAAATCAGGGGAGAAGGATTGCAAGACCATGGAAGTATGCCAATTTATAAAACCCCAAGTCAAAAGGTCAAACTGAACACTTGATCTCTCCAGTTGCCCACGTGGCCCTCTTCCAAGTGTACGTTACTTCGTTTTACTCCTGCTCTAAAGTTTTGTAATAAACTTTCACTCCTGCTCTAAAACTGGTCTCGGTCTCTCCTTCTGCCTTGTGCTGCTCAGATTCTTCCTTCTGAGAAAGCAAAAACTAGGGTTGATGCAGACCCGTGTGGATTCACTGCAGGGAACCTATTTTGGTGCCACAGGACCCACGTATGTTCCGCTCCTAACAGAATCAGGCACTCCGGCTCATGCTAGACCTGGTCCTGGACTGCTTCCCTGGGGTTTGCACCTCCTCCTTCCTGACCAAGCCCTACTTACCTTGTAAGCACTAGCACATGGGCCACCACATTCACAAATTACCTAGTCTACAATCTGTTTTCACTCTATACCCCAGAGCGTAGTATACATATTTTTATAAATGAACTTATCTACAGTAGTCTATTTCATCTTTTTAATTTAGCAAAAATCTACTGACTTCTATGAGTGAGGCAATAAGCGAGTTTGGGGGAAAAAAGGTACAAGGCCCTCAAAGAATTTATGGTTTAGAATTATTTATATTTCTATTTCACTTTTCCTATTTGATAATAAAAGAGGCAGTATCAATACATTTCACATTTGTATGTTTCCTAGTGCTTACCACACAGAAGGTAATTAACAAATATTACTTTCAGATTTACTGATCTTATTTTCTTTAACTTCAGAGCCCACTAACCTAATAAATAACTCCCAAATTATACTACATTTTATAACTTTCCGATGATCATGTCTGAATAAATATCACAACTCCTGAGTCTCTTCTATCTTCCAAACTCTGAAAACGTTTTCTGCTAGCAGTAAGAGTTAAGAAGTTGAGGTAAGAATCACCATCCTAGGCAATTCTTGTCCTCTACCTCAGAGAAGAGAAACTGGGTCTGCTTCCCCGGGTGGCATGACTTAGTCCCTTTTTTTTTTTTTTTTTTTGAGGCTGAGTCTCACTCCATCATACAGGCGGCTGGAGTGCAGTGGCTTGATCTCGGCTCACTGCAACCTCTGCCTCCTGGGTTCAAGCGATTCTCCTGCCTCAGCCTCCCAAGTAGGTGGGATTACAGGTGCCTGCCACCACACCTAGATAATTTTTGTATTTTTAGTAGACACAGGGTTTCACCATGTTGGCCAGGCTGGTCTTCAACTCCTGACCTCAGGTGATCCACCCGCCTTGGCCTCCCAAAGTGCTGGGATTACAGTTGTGAGCCACCACACCCAGCCACCTTACTCCTTTTGGGCTACTATAACAAAATAGCATAAACTGGGGAGCTCGTAAATGACAGAAATTCATTTCTCATACTTCTAAAGAGGCTGTGAAGTCCAAGGTTAAGGTGCTGGTAGATTTGGTGTGTGGTGAGGGCCTATTTCCTGATTCATTGATGGTGCTTTCTTGCTATGTCTTTACATGGTCTGAGAGGAAAGAGTTTTCTGGGGCCTTTATATAAGGGCACTAATCCCATTCAGAAGAGCTTTGCCCAAACAACCTAATCACCTTGTGAAGGCCCTGCCTCTCCACATCATTACAATGGTGATTAGGTTTCAACCTACAAATTTTGGAGGAACACAAACATTCAGACTACCACATGGCCAGAGACCATCCTGCATTTGATAGTTTTACATATATTGCCAGTGAGTCAAAACGGCGAAGGCATTTTGCACCTGCAAATATTGAATTTTTATCCCCAGTGTTTTAAAAAATGCAACAAATTATACTGTGAGCATATTTCCAAAAGTCAGAGATTTTCATTTATTGCTGGGAAGACTATAACTATAGAACACTATGAATTATCCAGAAATAAGTAACTTATGACTATGAGAACAAGACATGTCTCTTCAGTCTAGCACCAAGAAGTGATCAATGGCAAATGAAAATACAAAACTTATCTAGGGGTTGATCTACCAGCTCTAAAATTTAACATTGACAAGAGAACACTCATAATACAAGAGAGAGACTGTATCAGCACCTGTATCCTTCACAACGTCTATTTTCTCTATCTTCTTTATCAATTAATCCCAATTTTATGAGAACACGAGGATTAGCACCAATGAAAAATACACATGTCTATTGCAGCTATGGGTAGCCACATGACACAGTTCTTAGAAATGAAATGAAAACAGAAATGTCCTGAGTGGAGCAACTTTTAGTTTGCAGTGAGCCAAGATCGGGCCACTGCACTTCTGCCTGGGTGACAGTATCTCAAAAACAAAACAAAACAAAACAAAGACTCTCATCTTTGTCTCTTGCCCTTCCCCTCTTCAATACAGATGTGATATAGACATGATGCCTAGAGTTGGTGCACCATTTTGCAACCATTAAAGTCACACTCGGGCTGGAGGTTGGGAAACTAGAAGAAGCCCTGGACTTCAGCCACTTTCTTGATCGGTCGTGTTCGCTTCGCTTTGGGCTACCTAGCTCTTGACTTTGGTCATGTAAGAATGAAGGACTTTGTATGGTTAAGCCACTGTGGTACTTTTTCTTTCCTCAGCCAAAAGCAATTCCAACCAACACAACATCTCTGTTTATTAGTCACAACCAGGCTGGATTTTCTTCCTGTTCAGAAAATGAATAAAAAATGCAAACAAAGGTTGGAGATTGGAAATTTTTTCTTTAACATTAAAGAACCTAGCTTCAAGAATGGACTTCTTACAGAACACTACAGAAAATGAAATTTTAGAAATAGTCTTCTGTTCACAATAAAATTCATAGTGTAGACCTGTGAAATAAGAGCTAACGAATGAGATAACATACTGACATGAAGAGAAATGTGGTTAGGAGGTGATATGGTTTGGCTGTGTCCCCTCCCAAATCTCATCTTGAATTGTAGTTCCCATATTCCCCATGTGTCATGGGAGGGACCTGGTGGGAGGTAGCTGAATCATGGAGCAGTTACTTCCATGCTGTTGTTGTGATAGTGAGTGAGTTCTCATGAGATCTGATGGTTTTACAAGGGGCGTTACCCCTTTTTCGCTCTGCACTCCTCCTTGCTGCCACTATGTGAAGAAGGATATGTTTGCTTCTTTTTCTGCCATGATTGTAAGTTTCCTGAGGCCTCCCCAGACATGCTGAACTGTGTGCGTTAATTAAACAAACCTCTTTCCTTTAAAAATTACCCAGTCTCAAGTATGTCTTTTTAGCAGTGTGAGAATGGACTAATACAGGAGGTGAGTTGAAATAAAAAGGAAATAAATTAAAAGTAAAATGGTAAAATTAGTATCTTCACGAAATTAGAATTACTCAAAATTAGATTCACTGAAGAACAAAGCTAACACTGCTGAAAATTGAATAGTAATGTGTACATTTGAGCAGCTGCCTCCCATATATGAGAAATGAGCAGAGATTAAAATGATGACAGAAGAAAAAGTAGACATGGTTGACAGCGAAATGATATGTAACATAATATGCATTCATGAAAAGAAACAGTTTTAACAGAAATTTAATAAATCTGAATTATAACAGGAGAATATACTCCTACGCGAAAGAAAGGCTTGAGTCTATGGATGTGATTAACAGGAAACATTAATGACAACAGTAGCCTGAAATGATCCTGTTGAAATTCATAAATTCAAGGGTAAAGAAAAAAGCCAATGATTTGTTTTCAACTAGGCAGAAAAGTTTGCTGATAAAGAAAAAGATCTGACTAATGTCAGACTCCTCCATAGCAAGAAATTCCAAGAAGCAATTGGCAACATCCACAGAGTTTGAGGTAGCAAAAATTATAAACCAAGAAATCCATACATAACATGTTTCTTATACACAAAGGTTAAAGGAAAACATCCAATATGCAATAACTCAAATATATATTAATTCTATTTTTGAATATGAAAAATTTAAACATCAAATTTTAACCACTTAAAGGATAAATCAAAAGAATTAAATAATAAAGGCAGACCCAACAAAACTTCCTAATTATCAAACACATGCACATAAATTTCAACACATACTTAATCATCATTACGTTATTTCTAACAAGTAAAAATTGGAAACATCCAAATGTTCAGATACACAAAATTAACTAAATGGATTATAGTACCGTAAATGATGGACTAAGATATAGCTGTTTAAAACCACATTCACAAAACAGTGAAAAATATAGAGAGTCATCACAACACATTACTAAATAAAATAACAATAGCAATATATGCAGAGAGATTTTGTTACAAAAACACATGTATTTGGGTAGAAAAATATTAAATAAAATACAACAAAATGCTTACTCTGGCTTAAGATACGCTGATGTATTTTCTTCCAAATTTTCTGTCTTTTCTCTACCTAAATAAAAATAATACTTTTAATTTCCTCTCTCCCTTTTGGATGGATTTATAGTATATCAGCCCTAGTGCCTTCCTTGTGGCTCTGAAAGCTTCTCTCCACATGATTTTAGTAATGTTTGGAGTTTAGAAAGAATTTAGAATGTCATATTACTTATTAGGTACAATGATTATGTTATAATCTGTTTTATTACAACTGACAAATTCACAAATCAAATTTGCCATTTTGCCTATAAGAAGAAAATATTGGGCAATATATGTTTTCATAACGTTCCTTAAAAACCAAAACTTCAGAATGTGAGCATCTGTTTTCAATATGCACACTATTCAGTAGTGCTTTTAGTTTTTAATGTAAAGCCATAAATATTTTGGAACTGTAAATTTGCCTCCAGTCTTTTATCATCTCACTTTAGCTTTCCAGTTTTGCTGAATTTTACTTAACTGATTTACATCTTTTTTATACCTAATATAGACTCATTTTTAAGAAATATATAGTAGAAATGATAGACATTTTTCAGTAAGCATTGCACTTTTCTAGAATACACAGAGCAGGTTTAACTGAAGACAAAAATATCATTTTATTTTTGTTCAGATGTTTTCTACAGTGATAAAAATTTTCATGGTGAAGCTCAGCACAGTACTAGCCTTTGGCAGTTAACTAGGGAGATGAGGCTGTCAGCTCAAAGAATTATAGGAACTTGAAAAAATAGATTGTTTATGTTATCATCTGGAGGTTAGTTTATGGGCTCCTGAGTCCTTAACAACCCCAAGACACGTAGAAATTCACAGTGAGAGCCTCAAGCAGACTCAGGTATCACTGATTGTTGGTTCCACCTTTGCTTCCCGATTTGCCATGGGGTTTGCCCAGGAGTTGGTGAGAATCTTTTGACTAAAGCCAAGATGAAGCATCCAGAGTTTGACATTCTAATTCCTGCTCTGCCCCTGGCTTGCTAACGATCTCTGATAAGACAGTTATCTTGTCTGTGCCTAAAGCAGCCTGCAAAGTGAGAATAATATTTGATCCGAAATCTCTAGGACGCTATGATGGTTAACTAATACTTTACTGTGAAGCCAAAAAGAAGTGTAGCTATGCTTGAAGTTCTCAGTATATTCAAATAAACTTTTTAAAATCCTAGGTATCATGACTTTCTCATACTCAGTTACCCACAGTAAAAATGAGGAGGAAATAAATCAAAGAGGAACAGAGTCCTTAATAAGCAGAACCACATGTTAATATTCTAGATCAACAAATTCCTACTAAACCTTATTGTATAAAAGTTATTTCACTTCATCCATGGGTAAGCTTGCTTTCATTTGATCAGATGTAAAATTTATTTTAATTTTATACAAATTTAACACACTAACATTTGCATTAGTTTGTGATATTTTTTGGTATCAACTTTGTTGTTGCAGTAGCTTAATCTTGAATGGGACAATGAATTAATTAATATAATTCTATAACCTTACCATGGTATCCCTTTATTCTAAAGTAGCCCCCTTATCAGTTGTTATATTGATGTAGTTCCTCAATCAACAATTGTTCTTGGCTGGGCACAGTGGCTCATGCCTGTAATCCCAGCACTTTGGGAGGCCAAGGCAGGCAAATCACTTGAGTCCAGGAGTTCAAGACCAGGCTGGGCAACATGGCAAAATTTCATGTTATCTACTAAGCATACAGAAACTAGCCAGTATGCTGGTGCGTGCCTGCAATCCCAGCTACTCAGGAAGCTGAGATGAGAGGATCCCTTGAGCACAGGAGGTTGAGGCTACAGTGAGCAGTGATTGTGCCACTGCACTCCAGCCTCGGCAACAGAGTGAGAATATGTCTCTAAATAAAGAAAATTAAAAACAAAAACAAAACAAAATTGTCCTTCTAAAGAAGTCATATACTATTAAGAATATATATTCCCCTATGTATTTTTTCTTTAGTTTCTCATAGAAACATAGTCAGCTGTACATTACATTACAGCAAATACCATAGCTGACAAAAAAAAATAAAGTACACAAACACAGAATCAGAATACTATATTTTCATTGACAACTTAGCATAGAGAGGTTTAATTTCTTTATTTGAAATTGAGGATAATAAGAATAGTTATCACATAGAATTGTAACAAATATTAAAAGCGCTAATCTTTCAAAGTTATTTATTACCACAATGTCTACCAGACAATAAGTAATCAATAAATGTTATCAATTACTATTATTCTATTTCAAGAATACACAGCAGACTAGTCGTGCTTAAGTTCTGGCTCTTTAATAAGTAAAATTCAAATTTTTCTCTAATAAGTAAAATTCAAAATTATTTGTATTTTCAACTACTTTAGAAAACTAATGATATAATATTTCTAAATTCCTTGATTTAATTTGAAAACAAATTTTTAAAAGACAGTTATCTACAATATTTTGATTACTATTAATATTATTTTCTTTTTTTAAGAAGGAGTCTCCTTCTGTCGTCCAGGCTGGAGTGCAGTGGCATGATCTCGGCTCACTGCAACCTCCGTGATTCTCCTGCCTCAGCCTCCCAAGTAAGTACCTGAGACTACAGGCGTCCACAACCATGCCCGGCTAATGCTCATATTTTTAGTGGAGATGGGGTTTTGCCATGTTGGCCAGGCTGGTCTCAAACTCCTGACCTCGCGATCCACCCACCTCGGCCTCCCAAAGTGCTGGGATTACAGGCATGACCCATCTTGTTCAATGTTCATTTTTGTATACAGATTCTATGATATGGGGATACAACGACCTCAAATACATTGTTATTCCCTACAGGAAATATACATCTGGGTTTGTCTGTTACTGTGCCTAGCACATAATGAACACTCAGTACATAATATCTACTATTATTAATTCTTTAATATTTAAACAGATATCATAAACTGCCTAGTGTAATTAAGTGCCAAATACATATTACAGATGGTGAGAGAGATGATCTACAGAGATTCGTTCAAGGAAGACTTTGGGCAGAATTAAATTTGAGCTCTTCCTCATTTAATAGGCAGGAAGGATTCTGTGCATTATTTTGTGCTATATTACACTATTTTACATCATATTGTATTATGTATATATTGTATTATATATAAACATACATGCCATAGTGACATAATCTATACAATAATTATCTCAAGACCTGCCCCCACGTTTACCACTATTTTTTAAATTCAGAAAAAACATAAAAATATAAAAATTTAAGACATAAACACACACGCAATTTCTCAGCAGTGCAAAAACAAAAGCAATTAGATAATAAGTAGGTCTTCTGTACATTTCACAAGAAAAGAAAGATAAAAATCTAGGGCAGAGCAAATTGTCAAGAAGGAGAGGACAACTAAACTGGCAACAGAACTTGGATACCACCTGTTACTCACTGCTATAGTTTGGATGTTTGTCCCTGTAAACCTCAAGTTGATATTTGATCCCCAATGTTGGAGACAGAGTCTAATGGGAGGTGCTTGAGTGATGGGGGAGGATCCCTCCTGAATAGACTGATCTCCCCCACCTAGATCAGGCAGGGATGAGTAATTTCTTGCTCTATTAGTTCCCTCCAGAGCTGGTTGTTAAAAATAGCCTGGCACCTCCCCTACCCCTCTCTGGCTTCCTCTCTTGCCATGTAATCCCTGCACAGCTTGCTTCCTTTTGCACTCTGCCTTGAGTGAAAGCAGCCCACCTTCAGGCTTTCACCAGATGCCCAATAGTCCAGCCAGCAGAATTGCGAGCCAAATAAATCTCTTTTCTTTATAAATTCCCCAGCCTCTGGTATTCCTTTATAGCACCACTAAGCAGACTAAGACACTCACACTGTGTTTTCTTGTCTTGGTCTTCTGCGCTTGACTCAAGAAAATGGAAAGAGCTACTCAAACATGTTGAGAGATCACTCCCAAACCCAGCCTTCATTTCTTCCATACCTGAATATTATTTCCTTAAACACTGAAACTGCCTTGTCCCACCCGAACACTGTTCAAGTGAAAACAAATTACAACCTTGTTCCAGGCACCACCTCATATACCATCTCTACGATGATATTTAATTCAACAACATTTTTGAACACTTAATATTTAAAAAGTGTTGAAGAAACATACCTAAGAGACCGATGACCATGACTTTAAGAAAGAGAGATGGAAAGAAGTATAAGTAGGTCTTCTGTATGTTTCACAAGAAAAGAAAGATAAAAATCTAGGGCAGGGCAAATTGTCAAGGAGAGGACAACTAAACTGGCAATAGAAACCTGGATACCACCTGTTACTCACTGCTATAGTTTGGATGTTTGTCCCTGTAAACCTCACATTGATATTTGATCACCAATGTTGGAGATGGAGCCTAATGGGACTAAGCATCTTAAAATCTGTGATGGGAGGAGAACACAGTCCAGGAAGGACCATGTATCTATAAGTAATGCCCATGTATTTTTTGACCTGTAAAGGGAATGAGTACCAAAATAGATACAGGAAATAACTTTCACCCTGAACGACCTTTCTACTGGGGAGAAGATACTTTCAAATATTTAACAGAGTACAAAACAAAAGATGATGTGTGCAACATCCCTTAATTTCTAGGAAGCATGGAGGCCTTGTATGGCTCTGCATCCCAGCATATAACAGTGTTCAGAGATTGGAATGCATTAGTTATTCAGTGCATATTTTTTGAATGAATGAGTAAAAAGTATAGTTAGTAGAAGGAGGAAAGAAAAATATTCCCTTCAACTATTCATTTCATCAAGCCTTTCTTGAATTCCTATGTTTACAGTTCAGGGTCAGATTATTTGGGGATACACAGATTAATCAAAAAAGAATCCTACCTTTACAATGTCAAATTTAGCGGTCATAGTCGCTAAACGAAGTGAAAATTTGCAGGACCAAACAATATTTAGTTGACAAGGAAAAAGGGAAGAAAAGACAAGTACACCTTTGAAGACTGCCCACAGCTCTAGGTGAGCCTCTATACCAGCTCTTCAGAAACCATTCTGGAGCTCCAAGAGCAAGACTATCATGTCTCCAATAACATGAGGAAACAGTCTAACAGAACTGAATCATTACATAGAAATTCTATGACGAGCTGCTCACATTAATGTTGATGCAATTGAATGAAATGGAATGTAAACTATGAAAAATTTTCATAAATAATAAAGATAAATAAATGTTTTTAAAAACCTGAAGAACCAACTCTGTATAGGACAAACATTTTCCTCTACCTAAAAATAAAAATATTCCATTTCAAGATGGCAGACTTTATACCTGTGCTTCTGTCTCTTCCTTCTGCAATCTTGATAAAATCACGATAGGAGCACAACAAAGCTATAATTTAAGAACAATAAAGAGAAAGGAATGGCATAATTCAACCAAGTTCCAGAAGACTGAAAGTATTTCATGCAGGAGTCAGAAAAAAAGCAGTATCCTATAGCAATGGAGACCACCAGCCTGCTCATCGGAAACCTCAGAAAGATCTGGGCATCAGCTACATGATCTAACAGACCATGACAGTAAGAAACTGAGCATGAGAGCCTGGGTTAAAGGTCTCTATAAAAGATTTTTAACCAATACTGACTTAAATTTATTGCATGCAGAGTGCCAGGAGCCAAACATTCATACTCCAGGGAGAAATAAACAGCCTTTGCTAATAATTATATAAGAGTAGAATGAATTATCTGCAGACATCTAGGACAGCTAGAACTAGTATTGACACTCATTGAGGTCCTCTGCACTTTGGCATTAGTGCTCTGGAATTCAGACCAGCTCCCAGTCTACTCTCACTAGAACAAAGCCTGGCCGACCACTAGCCCCACCCACATACCCAGAAATCCCCGTCAGGCTCTCTACTGAGTCTCCCTTTCTATGGACGAAATAAATCCCATTGTTGCAAGTACCACAGATACGCTGGTATCACCAAAATCCATGTCACAATGCCTGTTTCATATGCTTCTCAAAACTCAAAAAGCAAAGAACTTTTACCACCCACCGAATCTCTTCCCCACTCTATTCTATTTTAGTAAATAAAATGGCAAAACCAGCCACTCAACTGCTCAAGCCAAAACCAGTGAGTTTTTCCTCATTCCAAAGGCAAGTTCTGTCAACTCTGACCCCAAAATCTATCCCACACCAAGCCAGCTTTCCTTGCTCCACTGAAACCACTAAAATTCAAACCAATGTAATTTTTTACCTAGATTCCCACAACTAACTTCCCTACCACTATCCCTGGCTTTCATTCTGATTTTCTACAATGGAGTGTCTGTTGAGAAGCCAGAGTTTTCTTTTTAAAATGTAAATTAAAACTTGTTAGGCCAGGCGCAGTAGTTCAAGTCTGTAATCCCAGAACTTTAGGAGGCTGAGGCAGGAGGATCATTTGAGGCCAGGAATTTGAGACCAGCCTGGGCAACAGAGTAAGACCCAGTCTACACAAAAAATAAAAATGAAAATAAAGTAGCAAGGTGTGATGGCCATGTCTTTACTCCCAGCTACTTAGGAGGCTGAGATGGGGGATCACTTGAGCCCAGGAGTTCAAGGCTGCACTGAGCCATGTTAGCACCACTTTACTCCAGCTTGGGTGATAGAGTGAGGCCTCATCTCTAAAACTAAAAAAAAAAAAATTGTCATGCCCCTGGAGTCCATCCAACAGAATTTTTCTTTGTCACTCGAAATGAAACCCAAATCCTTTCCCAAAGCCATAGGTGTTACTGTCCCTGCCACCTTCCCTTACTTCATCTCAGGTCATTGTCCTCTTTCTCACACTACTATAAACACGTTAGTCTTGGGTTCATTAGAGATTTCCGAAGACTACTCCAACCTCACGACATTTGGAAGTGTTCTTCTTTCTGCCCGGTATTTTTTCATTTGGGTCTCGGTTTCCTTAGAGAAGTCTTTCCTGACTGCCCAGACTCTCTATCCCATGGAAAACTCCCATAGTTGCAATTGCCTTTATGTTAAAGCTATATATACTTAGTATGCTTATTTTTATTTGCATACTAATACTCATATATTATCATTCTCTTGCTCAAGGATACAAGTTCCAGGAGCACGGTTGTCTCTTTTGTTTACCACAGTGTCTGTACTGATACACAATGAGAGCTAAAAAGTCTTTGCTGAATAATTATTTGAATATGTCATAAAGTGGGGGGAAAAAACTCCAATATAAACAAAAGTAAAAACAACCCTAGAAAAAAAAAAAAAGAACTACCAAACTAATTGCCTAGCAAAACCATGACTTTTAGAGTATTGTCATTATTTACTCAGGGGATTTTGAGAATAAAATGGAATCATCAGAAAGCAAAGTTCGCAGAAATGGGAAAGATAATTTCAAAACTATTAATTTAATAGCGTTAGAAGGTAAAATCAAGGCACCATGGAAATGTGCTATCAAAAAATAAGAGATAGAAAATAAGAAAGAAAAGATAAAGGACACAGACAATTTCTCCAGGAGGTACGAGATTCAATGAATGGAAATTCCCAAAAGAGAAACAGAGAAAATGGAGAGAAAGGAAGCATATTAGTGAGTTCAGGCTGCCATAACAGAATCCCACAGTTATGGGATTTATTTGAACAACAGAAATTTGTTTTTTCGCAGCTCTGGAGGCTTGAAACCCAAGATATAGATGCCAGTAGGTTTGGTTTCTGGTGAGGCCTCTTATCCTGACTTGCAGATGGCTACCTTCACACTCTGTCTTCACATGGCCTTTCTCTATATGTCCACAGAGAGGGAGAACAAGCTATGATGTCTCTGCTTATATCAGGACACCAATCCTATTAGATTAGGGCCCCACCCTTATGACCTCATTTAATCTTATTTATCTCAATAAAGGCCTTATCTCTAAATATAGTCAGAGAAGGGGTTATGGCTTCACCATATGACTTTGAAGGAGACAACACTTCAGTCCATAACAGGAAGTGAAACATTTTTTAATGCATGCAAGAAATTTAACAAAAGTTAAAAAGAGACATAAATTTTAAAATTTAAACAACTTAGCAAATGCCATGTAGGTTTTTTTTAAGTTCTACATCTCATAGTAAAATTTAAGAACAGGATAAGGAGAATATGTTCTCATCTTCCATAAGACATTGAGTAGGAAGTTAAAACAAGTCACATACAAAGGAACAAGAATTATACTTAAATTTAACGTTTAAGTATAATCACTGGGTATCATAAGACAATGAAGAAAAAATTCATTTTCAACCTAAAATTGTCTACCCAGCTAAAATTATAAATTACACAGGTAAAGTAATATTTCATTTTCAGGTATAACAAGGGCACCTAAATTTTACATTTTACACACTTTACTTAGAAAGTCGGTTGAGGATACCACCCAGCCAAGTGAGGAGCAAACCAAACAGTATCAGGAAAAGAAAGATCAGTAGTGAAGTCAAAGCAAAAGACAATAAAGGGGAGAACATTAACAGTGGTGCAGCAGGTGGATAGAAATCAATCCATACAGGAAGAACAGAAGAAAAGAAGACTTCAGAAGAGAGGTCCTAGGGTTAAAGGGGAGTGCCATAGATGAGACAGGTTAGAAGAGATTAAAAATTAGAAAAGAGATAGAATGAACTTTTAAAGGCATAAGAATTAGAAATTTCAGGGAAAAATTAACAAAGTTTAAAACTGGGCTGGGAGTCGTGGCCCACGCCTGTAATCCCAGCACTTTGGGAGGCTAAGATGGGTGAATCACTTGAGGTCAGGAGTTCAAGACCAGCCTGGCCAACACAGTGAAACCCTGTCTCTACTAAAAAATACAAAAATTAGCAGGGTGTAGGGGTGGGCACCTGTAATCCCAGCTACTTGGGAGGCTGAGGCAGGAGAATCACTTGAACCTGGGAGGCGGAGGTTGCAGCGAGCTGAGACCACACCATTGTACTCCAGCTTGGGCAACAAGAGCAAAACTCTGTCTCAAAAATTAAAGAATAAAAATAAATACAAACTGTATGAGAGAACATATGATTAAGGCATAATATTTAATTCCACAGAGAACAATTTTCATGAGTTCACAGTATTACAAATAAAAATAAAATTAAGATAAAATATTTTATAAATAAAGTTCAAAGGTATGCAGAGACTAGGAGAATAATACATGCAACACGCAGAAAAAAGAATTTATGCCCAAGGAACAAATACAGATCTAGATATAAATGACAAACAACTCAATAGAAAAATAGGAAGGGCATAATGAGGTAATTTATGAAGAGGAAATGCCAGCAAACATTTGAAAAGTTGCTCATTCTCACTTCCAGCCTAAGAAATGCAAATCAAACTAGCTAGGAGAGATCTTCTTTTTATCCATAATATTAGCAAAAATAAAATTTTATAACATCTAGAACTGGCCAATAGACGTGGAAATGGGCGCTCACATGCAATGTTGATGCAAGAATGAAGTATTATGAGCTTTCAATCCAATAGTATCTGCCAATAAGTAAATGCACATACCCTCTGCCCCAGTAATTCCCCTTTTAGAGTTAATTCAACGGATATAAAAGCATTAGTATATAAGAATATCTGTACATTACTATCTACTAAAGCAAAAAAGTATATAGTATACAGTAACAGAAACAAGACCATTACCCAAAAATCCATACTCTGTCTCAAAAAAAGTATAATTGAATATAGCCTATCTATCTATAAAATAGACTATTAAGCAGCTATTTTTAAAAAATGAGTTAGATGAGTGGTTTGAAAGGGTATTTATTACAGATTATTAAATTGAAGGAAGCAAATTTTTAAAAGATAAATTCGAAGAAGCAAATTTCAAACAAGCAAATGACAGAATTTAATTTGTAAAACTTAAAAATAAATTTTTGAAATTCAAAGAAGCATATGGAGTAGGACCCTAATTTTGACAGAAATAGAAAAGCATATGTGTAAGTTTACATACATCTGTATGCTATGTGTGTGTTTATGTGTGCATATATATATTAATATGTATTAGTAAGCATATTTAATAGCACATAGAAAAATGTGGAAATATGTACATGAAACTATCAGCAATAGTAACCTTGAGGCTGGGGAGACAAAAAGAAATTCTTTATACACCTCTGTAGTTTTCTCTAATTACAAGAAAAGTATAATTATTCTATTTTTAAATTTTAATCAAATTAAATAAAAATAAAAAGATAAGCAAAATATTTTTTAAAGACAAGGAACAAAAAGGAAGAATCAATTATGGAACTAAATACTACTTAAAGAATAGTGGGAAAAAGTCTCCACAATGAGTCATTTGTATTTTAGAAGAACTCATGGGCAACGTGAAATCAATAAAATAAGACACTCACTAAAAGGATAAGACAACAGAAGGAAGGGGAAAAACAAGATTGCAAAGTTTTTTTTTTTAAAAAAAGAGAAACTGGATAAAAACACTCTAACAAAAATAATAAATAAATAAAAATAGCAGAAAACAACATATGGGGCCAAATATTGAATTAGAGGACAAACGAATGCAGAGAGTAAAGACAGACACTACTAATCGCTTAGAAGAGAGTTAGTAGGTAGATCAGACAAATAATTTGGATCCAGCAAAAGAAAATCAATTGTTCTTCCCTCTGGGGAATTCTTGTGTTCTATTCTATAAATGGAATAGGGAAAACAGTTCATTTTTATATATCACAAGAAAATTTCCATGAGGAGCAAGGGAAAAAATGGGTCCACCAATTAAATGAGCCTACGATGTTTGAGAAAATGAACTGATTATGAGAAAGAATTATCAAAACTGAGACATGGGCCGGGCACCGTGGCTCATGCCTGTAATCCCAGCACTGTGGGAGGCCGGGAGTTTAAGACCATCCTGGCCAACACGGTGAAATCCCGTCTCTACTAAAAATACAAAAATTAGCCGGACATGGTGGCGCACACCTGTAGTCCCAGCTACTCAGGAGGCTGAGGCAGGAGAATTGCTTGAACCCAGGAGGCAGAGATTGCAGTGAGCCGAGATCGCACCATTGCACTCCAGCCTGGGCAACAGAGAGAGACTCTGTCTCGATAATAACAATAAAAATCAAATTACTGCTTGATATTGTAGATAACTTTCTTTTAAAATTTGTTTCCAAATTAAATCAGGAATCTTAGAAATATTATATCATTAGTTTTCTGCTTCTAAAAAGCAGGACTTCGTCTCAAAAAAAAAAAAAACTGAGACATATCCTGGAAATTTTTCTGAAATTCACAACTGAATTAGTTCAACAGGAATTTTTAGTCAGGAAAAGCAGAAAGGAGAAAGAAAGGAGAAGGAAGAAGCAAGGAAAAAAGGGAAGAAAGAAAAGAGGGAGGGAGTAAGAGAAACAATCAGGCATAAATATAGTGAGTACAAGTGAGGAGAAAGTTTGATTGTAAGAAAGTGAGAGTGAGTGGTTTCCATCATCACCCTTCCTACCAGATCTCTTATAAAACCTGCCCTGAGGACTAGGAGTTGCAAAGCATATAACGCTTGCCTGAAATAATTGGGTACATGAATTACAGGCATTTGTATTTTAACTGTGAATAAAGCTTTAAATCACTGAAGAGAAAGTTAATGGGGAAAATATCAGACGATAAGGGGTTAGTGGAGAAAGTACTTGAGAAATTTAAGCAGTCTGAAACATTCATATAGAAGCTAGTATTAACCTTCTCAAAAGAAAAAAAAGTTAAAATTTTTCTTTCACATACTGTATTCTTTTCTTTCCCACCCTACTGCTTTTTGAGACCAAAACCAGAAATCTGGTCAAAAAGTTGAGACCAAAACCAGAAATCTGGTCAAAAAGTTGCAAAAGCACTTGCAACTGTCATCAAGAAGAGTATACAAAGTTTCCAAGTCCAAAGAAAGACTTTCTAGCTTCTGATATTTAGGATTTGAGAAGACCCTAAAAATTAAATATCCTCTCAAAACAAATAAAAACAAAGAAACATCCCTGCCAAATCCTAATTCTCTATTAAATTCCTGTATCACTTGGCTTACCTGATTTGCTCATTCCAGTACTTATTCATATTCAGTCTCACATATTACATGATGGCATAAATAAACATAAATGTGGTACCCCTTTTACCTGTGGGGTATTGTTACCAAGTTTAGCCTAGCTGGCACTAAATGCTAAGGACCACAAAGAAAGTTGAAATCATGAGTCCAGAACTTGTCTTAGAAGCCTCAGGAAGCAAGGAATTCTATCTGCAAGTACAGTTAAGGAGTAGAGAAGTCTGTCTAAACCTAGCTGGCAAATAAACACTGATGGGGATTTAATGGAAAAAGAAAGCAAAGAAGTTTCCATAACAAATACAGACTGTCATAAGCTGCCTTACTTCTTTTATGTAATCTGGAAGGAATATAAATGTATAAAAATGCAAATAAACAACTAAATACATTTTTAAATGAAATGCCATCAGCAAGAGGTTGCAGATAATTGAATCAAATTGTACCTCAGAGATTGTTCTTTTGTCTGAACAATATAATCACTACAAACATATTTCAGTGAAATGAAAAGATTATTGAAGTAATATTAAAAGTCATCAGCACACATTAGAAACCCACACGTTTCTAACAAATGAGATGTATTTAAAGTTGAACTTAAACCTATAATATCAAGCAAGAAATAATGAAAAGCCATTGATCTGAATAAACTATGATTTTCTAGATCAGAGTGCAACTACTTATGTGCAATGAAAGTAATTCCAGGTCATGCCGTGATCCTATAAAAATTTGTCGTCTGTGATATTGGATTTTGCTTTTGACTCTAAAAGGTCAGAAGAAGAGCAGAAAAGCTATGGTTCTAGTTTATCCATAAATCATTTTGTATTCATGGAGGTACTGCTTCATTGCAAAGAGAACTGCCTAGAAACCAGATTGAAAATGTCTATGAATTGAGTAGGTTCCAGATGGGCAGTGAGCTGCACAGTGACCACACATTTCAAAACTTTGAAAAAAAAGAAAAAATAGATATATATA
Organism: Homo sapiens; assembly: GCF_000001405.40. NCBI lineage: Eukaryota > Metazoa > Chordata > Mammalia > Primates > Hominidae > Homo > Homo sapiens. The sequence goes on from NC_000008.11 coordinate 16,737,609, forward strand.
TATTTCAAAGTTAGTTGAGATGAAGACACTTTTCAAAGTTCTGCATTTTTACAGATTCAGAACTGCTGTCATCAACCATGAATCACTTTCTCATATTAAACTCTTAAAAAATCATTACCAGTCATCAAAGCCATATTTTAATAGAGATGAGGTAGGATCATGTATTATTTCTTATTACCTGCCTTCTAGAAATTCTACATAGGTTCAATACCCCCTGCTATGGTGATACAGTACTACTCTTTCTTTCCACAAAGCATATTAAAACACGCATACACACACACACACACACATGCGCAAACACATACAACCTATGAGTTTACAGTCATTCCCATGGCCATTTCAGACTTTGTCACTAGCAATAACAGCATTTTCTTTACAATCTCAATGTCAAGATTCCTACTGTTTTATTACCACCTTGGGTCTTTCTAGCTCACTTCCTCTAACACCCCAATTCACACAATCCTTAGAATTCACCAGCACTTCCAATCCATTATCCTCACCACCATGATATTTTGAACACCCCCTACATTCTACATCCCTGTTTTATTTTTATTGTTATTATTTATTGAGACAAGGTCTGGTGATGTTGCCCAGGCTGGTCTCGAACTCCTGGGCACAAGCAATCCTCCCGCCTTGGCCTCCCAAATTGCTGGAATTACAGGCATGAGACACTGTGCCCTCTTTATTACTCAGGCCACTTTACTCAGGCAAAATTCCACCAGCAATTATTATCATCAAATTGTTGCATACACCTTCGATGACTTTACTCCTCTTTTTCCTTGTCTTTCTCTGGCAAAATCACATACCAGTTAAATCCAACTCTCTGCTTACTCTCTCACCTGCACATGGGTGGATGAATCCAGATAAAGAAAAACCCTCATTTAAGTTGCTTTATATTCATGACCATGAACCAAGCCTTTAATGCTTCTGGAAACCACATTATACTTTCTCTTTTCCATTCATACTCCACTCTCTCAAGACGACTATCTCCCATCATCAAACCTTCAACACTTTCTCCTCATTTCATTCTCAGCAGACAATCTGGCTTCCTACTTTATTCAATCAGAAAAGAACTCCCACAATCTATGGACCCTCCAACCAGCATCTTCACCCATTCTGCCTTCCCACCTTTTCCCTGAGATTAAAGATTCCCTTTCCTTTCCAAAGAGACTTATTGGAATTGTACACTATAACCCATCCCCTTTAACTGATATGAGGTTAGCACTTAGATGATTCTTTCCTCTCTTTGCTATACCATCAATTTGTCCTCACTACTGGATTATTTCTATTAGTTTATATTCTATTAATGCTCAGTCTTTAAAAATAAATCTTGATGTCATCTCTTTCACTAGATAGTACCACATTTCTTTGCTTTCCTTTGCTGCAAAGCTCCTCAAGAGACATCTTTATCCCTGGTCTCCAATTTCTCTCTTAAACCTACTGTAAAACCTCAGGCCTCAGTCTTTAGTCCCATCTCTATCTGCATTTCTTTCCTTGACAATCTCATCTGTCTCATGATTATAATTCTCATGCACCTGCAGATAACTCCCAAATGTATAATTTGTATCTCCAGTCTGGACATCTCTCCCAAATTCCAGGCTTATTTTTCCATTGCCCACTCAACATCCATGTTATGACCTGAATATTCGTGTCCCTCCCAAAATCCATATGGTGAAGCCCTAACCCCCAGTGAGTCTGTGTTTGGAGATGGGGTCTCTAAGGAAGTAATTAAGGTTAATAAGGTCATACAAGTGATACCCTGATACATAGGAATAGAGTCCTTATAAGAAGAGACATCATAATCCCAGCACTTTGGGAGGCCAAGGCAAGCAGATCACAAAGTCCAGAGATCGAGACCATCCTGGCCAACATGGTGAAACCCCATCTCTACCAAAAATACAAAAATTAGCTTGGTGTGGTGGCGCATGCCTGTAGTCCCAGCTACTTGGGAGGCTGAGGCAGGAGAATCACTTGAACCAGGGAGGCGTAGGTTGCAATGAGCCGAGATCATGCCGCTGAACTCCAGCCTGGGTGAACAGAACAAGATACCATATAAAAAAAATTAAAAAAAATAAAGAAGAAGAAGAGACATCAGAGAGCTTGCTTGCTCTCTGTGTAGTCCAGAGGAAAGGCTGTGTAAGAACACAGCAAGAATCATCTGAACCTGTAAATATGTTACCTCAGCTGGTGTTATGGTTTGGCTCTATGTCCCTACCCAAATCTCACCTTGAATTGTAATCCTCACAGGTGGAGGGAGGGACTTGGTGGGAGGTGATGGGATCATGAAGGTGGTTTCTCCCATGCTGTTCTCATGATAGTGAGGGAGTTCTCAGGAGATCTGATGGGTTGATTTGTTTGCTTGCTTGTTTGTTGGCTTGTTTGTTTGTTTGTTTGTTTTGGAAGAGAGTCTCACTCTGGCACCCAGGCTGCAGTGCAGTGGCACAGTCTCAGCTCACTGAAACCTCTACCTCCTGGGTTCAAGCAATTCTCCTGTCTCAGCCTTGCCAGTAGTTGGGATCACAGGCACAGGTCACCATGCCTGGCTAATTTTTGTATTTTTAGTAGAGACGGGGTTTCACCATGTTGGCTAGGCTGGTCTCGAGCTCCTGGTTCAAGCGATCCACCTGCCTTGTCCTCCCAAAGTTCTGGCATTACAGGTGTGAGCCACCACACTAGGCTGAGATCTGATGGTTTTAAAACTGGCAATTTCCCCTGTGCTTTTTCTCTCTCCTGCCCATGTAAGATGTGCCTTGCTTACCTTCACTTTCTGCCATGAGTTTCTTGAGGCCTCCCCAGCCATGCGGAACTGTGAGGCAATTAAACCTCTTTTCTTTTTAAATTACCTAGTCTCCGGTAGAATCTTTATAGCAGTGTGAAAACAGACTAATACACCTGGCAGAAAGGACTTTGCCAATGCAATTAGGCAGAAAGGACTTTGCCAATGCAATTAGAGGGAGATAATCCTGAATTATCCTAGGGGACCAACCTAGTCACATGAAATCTTAAAAATGGATAACTTCTGCTGGCTGCAGGAAGATAGAGAGATGCAGCAGAAGAGCAGACAGGAGAGAGGAGGCATGAGATCAACATGCTGTAAATGGCTTTGAAGACACAGAGGTCCATAAGTCAAGAAACTTGGGCAGTTATGAAAGATGAGAATGACTCCTGGCTGAAAGTGAGCAAGAAAACAGAAACTTCAGTCCTACAACCACCTAGGACTGAATTCTGCTAAAACCTGAATAAGCCTAAAAGCAGATTCTCCCCCATAGCTTTCAGCTTGCAGCTCTGCGGCATCCACAGCAGATAAACAAGCTGAGCCTAACAAATGTCCAGCCTAAAGAATTGTGAGATCATAAGTGTTGTTGTTTTAGGCCACTAAATTTATGGCCATTTGTGATGGCAGCTAGTGATAACTAACAAGTCCTAAACAGCTGCCTCTGAGCTCTTATGTTTGGCACACATTGTTAATGCTTCTCAGAAACCACAATTCATCCCAGTGGGAAAAGGAATAGGTAGGAATTTGTCTCTGATGGACCCAGGCCCCTTCTGAGAGGAAGGCCAAGTCTGTACCTACTCCGGGCTTCTGTCCTTTGAGTCGTTACTGCGCCATGTTTTGTAAGACTTACATTATCTGCCTTGACATATGTAAGTCAACCCTGTGTATTACTGCACAAACTAATAAGAGTGAGTCATTCTCTACACATTCACACATTCATTTAGTTTTCCAGGAAGTCTCAAATTTAAAAAAAAGAAAAAAAGGCCTCGTGATATTTTTGGCCAGGTGGGGTGGCTCATGGCTGTAATCCCAGCACTTCGGGAGGCTGAGGCAAGTGGATTGTTTGAGCATAGGAATTCGAGACCAACCTAGGCAACAAGGCAAAACCCTGTCTCTACAAAAAATAAAAAAAAAATAAATAAATAAAAAGAAATATAAAAATGAGCTGGGAATGTTGACAGGCATCTATAGTCCAGCTACTTAGGAGGATGAGGTGGGAGGATCACTTGAGTCTGGGAAGTTGACGCTGCAGTGAGCTGTGATTGTGCCACTGTACTCCAGGCTGGGCAACAGAGTGAGCACCTGTCTCAAAAAAAAGTGGTGGGCGGTGGCGATTTGGAAAAATTATATAATTTACTATATGTCTGGCACTGCACAAATTTCTTACATGTATTATTATTTTCAAATCTTCATAATAGTTCCATGAGACAAGACGATCAGGACTTCCTATCTAACCCTTAGAGTGAAGGTGAGAAACCCCACTACTCTGTGAACAGAATTCTGTCCAAACATGCTTCATATCTCCAGCATATTAACTAGTCTTTTTTGGATGCATTGTTAGTCCAAATTGGTATAACAACTTAAACTTTAAATGAGTATTCACCTCCTTTTGTTGTTTCAAGTCTCTTATTAAAGGTCAAATTTGATCGACGTGAGCAAAGACCAACAAAAGATAGTGAGGTGGGGATCAGATGAAGACTCAGCCCTGGAGTTTCCCCTCTGTTGCTCAACCCCTGAACTTATTCTGCTTCCAATTTAAAAGTATTAAATCTCTAGATAATCTTTTGAATGGCTTCCAGTCACCGAAATATGTTTTATAGCTTCCATAGAAGTGTAACATTGATTATAAGTAAGATTTGTGAAACATCAAGTAGCATTAGATTCTCAAATTTAAAATGAAGATTCACATTCCACAAGGCTGTTTGAGATAGCCTTATCAAATCAGCTGATTTGACTCCAGGTAGGTCTGCCACAGAATTATTATGAATAGATAGCTAACTTGGGAGAACTTTCACGGTCTGGTCAGCAACTTGTGCGACTTTCTAACAGCTTTAACTCATACCCTGATCACTACAGCTTTGAGACAGCGTGCCAATAAGAATAAAAGGTTCCAATATTAATAAAATAATATGAATAATAGCTTTAATTTTTAACACTTGTTAGAATGCTAGGCAGGTACAATTCACTAAACAGTGACTTATTCAACAAATATTAATTAGGATTCGAAAAACGAGTACAGAGTTGAACTCTGCAGCTACTCTCCTTTAGGCTACCATTTTTAACTAAATGACCTTGGCCATAATATTCAAATTCCTATCTGTAAAACAGGGTAAAAATAATACCTATCCCACAAGTTGTGAGAGGCAAATGAGTTTGTGCACATAAATCCCTTAGAAGAGGGCCTATCACAGAGTGAGTTCTCAATATGTCCTAGTTGTTATTGCGCATGACAGCTACATTCCACGTGGTTACTGGGCCCTGGAAATATGATGGTGATCAAGATATCCATGTTTCCTTACCTCAATGAAGCCTACATTCCTATGGGGAAATAAAACACAAACAAGAAAGCAATCGACGTTCAAATGTAAGTTTATATTGCACTAAAGAAAATTAGCATGGTGGTTAGATTGGCAATAGCTAGGTGTGTACAAGTGAGATGAAGGAGTAAGGAAGACCATCATTTGAGGTGGGCCCAGCAGAGGACAAAGAGCCACACATAATAAGAACTGGAGATAGATTAAAAAAGAAAAAATTCCAGGCAGAAGGGGCAACTACAAAAGCCTAGAGAAAATTAAATAAAAGAGCCAAGATCTCTTAAATCCTTTCAGGCCAAGAAAAAGAGTTCAGATTTTATTCTAACCACAAAAGGAAAATGCTGAATTATTTTAATTGAGAAAGTAAATAATCTGATCTGTTTTTTTTTCTCTTGATTTTCTCCATTTCTTACCCACTTGCACAGAAATTTACTTGCACAGGTGTAGAGCTTAGAATGGGAAGTACTGAAGTATATTAGGAAGATTCTCAACAGACAGCACTGGGAGTGAGATATTTCTGGAACATATCTAGGAAAGGTGAGTTTTCCTGATACCTTCTCCCCAAATATTCTGAAGAATATCAGTTTTGAGATTTTTTTTTATTTAATTAGGAGAAAGAAAATTCTGATACAACACAAGAGATTTTAGTAAGTGGAACAAAGTTCAAAATGAGGAAAGAGGAGAAAAAAATGAGTAAGCTCCCTTAGTAAAAAGTATTACTATAACAATTCATTTTTAGTAGACATCTTGAGTGCAATTTTACTTCTCTTTTCCAGAAATAAAATTCTGTGCAAGAAATGGAGAAAATCAAGAGAGAAAGAGAAAGACTAGCAGGAAATTATCGCAGTGTTCCAGGTAAGAGATGATTGACAACTGGGCTAAGATAATGGCAACAGATATGAAAACAAGTAAATAGAATCATAGTATGGCTTGGAAGTAAAAACAAAAATAAACAATAATGACAAAATAAACCTGTGAAATAAGCATCATCGTTATCTTAATTATGTTATATATATATATATATGAAGAAGGCTTATAGAATTTAAAAACTCAGCCAAAAAGCAACTGGAGTTCAAGCACCAGGAATTTCTGACTGCCATTTAGATGTTAGGATAAGAAGTGTGGTTGTGAGAAAAATAAGCATTCACTTTAATGCTTCCTATGTCAGCATATCTAGAGTCAAACTGAACACCATGAAATGTTTTGTAAGCATGCATCTGTTGAGTATTTGCTATACGGAGCATCTTCAGGTTTCTTTTATTTAAGTCTTGCAAGTTGTCAAAGATTTTTGTTTTCATTCTTTTCCTTTCTGCCTTTCTTTTAGTCTCTTAAGACATGCTCTGAAAGGAAGCACTGCAGGAAAACTTGTTACTGTTTGGATTTTTACTTGAAAAACGGTTGTTTGTTTTTATTGCTATATTCTCCAAAAGGTGGATTGCTTTCTCAAATGTGTGAACTTCCACTTGAGAAAGAGGAGTTGAACTCTTACCTACCTCCAACCCTTCAAAAGAATCAGCATTCCAGGATTATTATTTTGCCATGTGCTGATTTGCACCTGACGTGAGATTATTGTTGCAAGGAGCAAACCTTCCAAAAGAAAAAGTTATTTCAGTGCTGCCAACATTCCCAGTCTCCCTAACGAAGCAATCAGCTTTCAGAATTTGGCACTGCAACTCCCTGAACACACTGTCACCCCCAAATTCTCTTAAACTATATGACTGTCCACAGTTGTAGAGCTCAGAATGGGAAGTACTGAAGTATGTTAGGAAGGTTCTCAATGGACAGCACTGGAAATGAGATCTTTCTGGAATATATTTAGGTAAGGTAAGTGAGTTTTCCTGATAACTTGTCTCCAAATATTCTGAAGAACATGAGTTTTGAGGGTTTTTTTTTTAATTTAATTAGGAGAAGAACGCTAATACAACACAAGAGAGTTTAGTAAGTGGGACAAAGTTCAAAATGAGGAAAGAGAAGAAAAAATGAGTAAGTTCCTTTAGTAAAAAGTATTACTATAACAACTCATTCCTCATAGACCTCTTGAGTGCAATTTTACTCCTCTTGTCTAGAAACATCTCTAAAAGTAATGTTATCAGAGGGCAATTCTTTAGGCTGACAGCATTTTACATATTTCATATTGAAATTGATTGGTCTTTCTACCTTAGCAAAACATTTGTAGAAGAAAGTTGACAAGGAAGAAACAGAAGAGAGGATGTGAAATAATTCATAAATATTCACAATCTATCCGTTAAATTTCCTACAGTCCCTCAATTTTCCCAGCTTCATCCACTTTTCATTTCCTGAGTCAAGAAAAGATTGAAGTCTTCGAAATGAGGGAAAGTATAATGATAGAAAAACATAGACCCAGAATTAAGACTAAAATTAAAGACAGTAGTGAACTACACCTAATAGAAAGGAGCCCTTAGCCCCACAAATGGTATAATGAACTTGAGCTCACTTTTAGGATTGAAAAGGGTGCATATTTTTTCTATGTGTTGTCAAACCCCACCATAAACTCACACAGGGTTTACTTTGCATGGCTATAGTGCAAAGTCATGTTTAAGTTCTTCATCTCAACGTTCTCCATTTACATGAAAGGATTTGGCAATGGTTGTAATTACTAGAGTGTCCCAAATAAGATGGGTCACTGACAAGGCTTGGCTGCAGCTTTGGGATGCTCCAACTTTCATTATAAATTCCTTTAAACTCTTCATAATGGGGGGTGTATTTATATAAGAGGCCTACAAATAATTGTTTTTTAATTAATTTTTTTTGAGACAGTGTCTCACTCTGCTGCCCAGGCTGGAGTGCAGTGGCAGGATCATGGCTCATTACAGACTCAAACTCCTAGGCTCAAGTGATCCTCCTGCCCTAGCCTCCTAAGTAGCTTGAACTACAGGCACACACCACCATGCTGAGCTAACTTGTTGTATTTTTGTAGAGACAAGGTCTTGCTATGCTACCCATGCTGTTCTCGAACTCCTAGGCTCAAGCTGTCTTCCTGCCTGGGCCTCCAAAATGCTGGGATTACAGGCCTGAGCCACCACACCTGGCCTAAATAATTATTTAAAGCTTACCATCAAGCCTATACAGACAACTGTGGAACATTTTGACTCAGACTTTATTTCTACCTGATTGGCAAATAGAACACTTTCAGTGGAAATGAGGGGACAGGAGTAGAAAAGAAATAGCTCCCTGATCTCCTGTCCCTGGTGCTTCTGTCCCCACCATTACAATTAGCACAGAGCTGGTCACCTCTGTATCTAGTAGTATGCTGTTAAGTGTTTAACAACCATCTCTCCCAAAATAAAACAGCCTTGATCTGTAGCATTTGACAATTTCTTGGTCTACATATTCCCAACATGGCCAATTTCAAGCTCCCGACATGGTATCACTGAACATGGAGTTGATAAAAGGTATGCAGTCAGCTCTGGTCAACCATCATGAACACTCCAGCACACCACTGACAGTGTCTTCTTTGGAAACAGGGAGAATGAGGATGACAGTGAATATAAAGATAAGAAGGCCAAATTGTTAGCCACCACAATGCTTGCTGTTATCATTTTGCAACCATGCTTACACAAATGCAACCTTCATGTATTACGGAATGAAACCTTTAACACCTAGATAATGCCTACATAGTGCATAATGAAAGTTCACAGGAATAGAAATTCATTTCAGTAGCTCACGTTTATATTTGCATCTTTTGTTAGCATGCTATAAATTATCTATTATGAAAAAGTGTTGACAGCTATATGAGATCAAGATAGAGTATGTTCTATCTATCATCCTAAAAGAGAGAAATTTCCAGTTCTTGATGTGAGCTGATGTTTCGTCTCTCATAACATAGTTAATACATGAATGCAAAAGATCACATAACAGAATTCACTGTAAGAATAATTAGTGAAAAAAGTATTAAATATCTACTATTGACTTCTTTTACAACTACAACTGCAATACAAAAAGTCCATCCCTTGTTAAACAAATACAATTGTAACACAAAAAGTTCAGAGCGCCTGAACACTTCACCTGATACCCTTCACCTAATAGTGACAGTTCTCCTGTCCTGTTGAAGAAAGCAAGTCTAATCCTGAACAAAACTGAGATATTGCAACTTTCAGACAATTCATGTTCAATTACCACTGAGTGTCATGATGTGTCTTCTCCAGGAGCAAAGAGTTCCCTTTACATGACTCAGAGATCAATTTCCTATGCCAAATAGGAGAAGTAAAATTGTTCATGAAAGCATATTCACTGAACCGCTCATCTGATCTGAAAATGCATGTTCCTCTCTTGGTTTAAAAAGTAAAAGGCATAGAAAATTTATTTTTGTGAAGTGACAACACTACGTGACATTTTAATAATTCTAATGCTAGCATCGAAGAAGCCTAATCAGTGTAGATCAATGCGTCATTAATGGTTTTATTCCACTCTTCAGATCTTTCTGTCAATGCTATAGTATCTAGCCACATATGGTTATTCAAATTTAAATCAGCTAAAATTAAATAAAATTTAAAATATATTTCTTAGTCTCACTAGACACATTTCAAACACTCAGTAGCCACATGTGATGAGTGGCTACCATAGTGGACAAATGCAGGTATAGAACGTTTCAGTCATCACAGAAAGTTCTATTGGACAGCACTGACTAAGGTACTCAGACATCATTACACCAGCAAACCAGAAAATGAAGGGAAGAGAAAAACATTGAAACTGCCATTTGCCTTAACCCATTGCTATGTTCTTATAGAAATGAGTTTGGTCCAGGAGCGTCTTTTGAATTGTTGGATGATAGGGCACCTTAATCTGAAACCCATTATCCTTGAGTGAACATGCAACCTTTCTCTTGCATATATAATTATAATAGGGAGGACTGGAAAAAGCATTTATTAAGTTTATGCTTAACATAATAATTCCCAAGCATCATATGTGCCCACAGGAGAAATAAAATCTGGCTGCCCAAAAATGATTCCTTCCTCTTATTTTTCAATTCTCCTTGACCCTAATATAATAGAAATCTTTACAATAAGCAGTGTTTTAGTCCCTGGGAGGAAAGCCCTCAATCCCTTTGCAGCCCAGATGTTTCTCTGCTGAATCCTGACTCTACCAGCTGGATGTTAAAGCAAGTTCAGAGAGCCTCCTCTCTTGGGTCTATTAATGAAGCAGAATTTTCCTTCTTTGACAGGCAAGGGCTAATTATTATCCTTGAGTAAAAAAAAATTCACTCGCTGCCCCCTGAAAAAAAAGCAAAATTCATATTTAAAGCCAGCAGTTTCCAAATTAAATTTCACAGAACCTCAGATTGATTAATTTCCAAATCTAGTTGCTGAAGCAACAACTCTGTCCTCAGGCATAATCCGTGCTTTTTCAATATAGTGGTTATCACAGTAATAGAGGTATCAGCAAAACTAATGTTATGGAGGCTAAAACATAATGTTTTGTAATTATATATCTGCCTGTCAGAGGTGCCTTGGGTTGAATAATCTCTTGATGATAGAAAATAGATTTGACGGCACACAAAATAGCGGAAAATATCTTGCATGCACCTGCCTGATTGTTCTAGATAAGCTAAGCAGAAAACAACACATAGCAGTCTATCTTTTTTTGCTGCTGTTGTTCTGTTTGTTTGTTTTTTTGAGACCAAGTCTCACTCTGTCACTCAGACTGGAGTGCAGTGGCGTGATCTCAACTCACTACAGCCTCTACCTCACTGCAACCTCCGCCTCCCAGGTTCAAGCAATTCTCCTGCCTCAGCCTCCTGAGTAGCTGGGACTACAAGCACATGCCACCACACCTGGCTAATAAAACAACACGTAGCCATCTATCTTGACACATAGGGTTAGAAAATGACATTTCTTTAAAAAACAAACAAACAAAAAACTACACAAAAGTACTATTGTCTCATATAAAAAGCCTCGTCAGATTTATTTTTCTGCTCATCTTTTTTCTATTTTTCTATCTTATGTCACTACCACCCAGTCATTTTTCACTGATTCTCTTTTTTTGACAGTCACTCATTTGCCCTTATCTAGAGGCTAGGCAGCATCACAGCCAGAATCTGAAAATGCCGGTTCACAATGAGATTTCCAAAAAAATATTTCTCCCAATCTCAAAAGGTTCTATCCAAGATATTATCATGAATGTGTCAGCCATTTAAAAAATTAGATTAGGAAGAATTTCACAATAGTTCATTGTTTACTTTAGTTGAACTGGTGGGGGAACCACGGGGGATTTGAGTCATACTTTCTTTTAATATTTTCTTTTTTCTTTTCCTGTGTTAACTTTTGTATCTCACATTTCTTAGTTATTTTCCTCTGCTTCCTTTTTCTAATTTAATGCTATTTGTTCTCATAGAATTAGGGGAGCTGAGCACTTTCTAAGGAAATCCTAGAATGCAGAGTTAATTTTATACTTATTACTACATTTTCACCGCAAAAAAAATCATGAGCACACATTGTAGGGTACATTTTTAAGAACAATTCGATTTTCTCCCTGAATATCATTTGCCTGGGCACCCTGAATGCAGTTCACTCGCCTGTGAGAGTTTGCAGGTTGGTAGTTGATATGGTTTGGCTGTGGCCCCACCCAAATCTCATCTTGAATTGTAGCTTCCTTAATTCCCATGTGTTGTGGGAGGGACCCAGTGGGAGACATGTGAATCATGGGGGCGGTTTCCCCCATACTGTTCTTGTGATAGTGAATAAGTCTCACGAGATCTGATGATTTTATAAGGGATTTCCCCTTTCTTTTCGCTCTCATTCCCTCTTGTCTGCTGCCATGTGTCTTGTGTCTTTCACCATGATTGTGAGGCCTCCCCTGCCGCGTGGAACTGTGAGTCCATTAAACCTCTTTTTCTTTATAAGTTACCCAGTCTCGGGTATGTCTTTATCAGCAGTGTGAAAACGGACTAATAAAGTAGTGAAATGAGGTTTTTTCACCTCATGGAAAATAGACATTGTATGACCCATCAGTTTCCTGTTATTTTAACCTTCACTAGGGTCATGAAAAAACTCAGAGCAAGTTGTATTTCTTCTCTCCTACTTGCTCTGTCATCTGTAGAAATTAGCTGAGGTAAAGAGGCACCTTCTTCTCATTAATCATTGTAAGTTAAGGAATAATTTTATTGCTGTGAATGTTTTGGGCCGCATGCCCATTTCAAAGTTGAAGATGTTAAGCCGACCCATTTTCTCATAAGATGTATGTTTCTGCATCTTCAACCAATATTCCTTGGTCTGCTAAAATACATTAGAAAGTAGGAAAGATAAATAGACTCACATAGCTGTTTTGAGGCAGCAGATTGAACCATAAGGCATATAGAAGTTATAGTTTTATGTCTGCTTATACCATAATAAATAACTTCAAAAATAGACAAATTCTTTGCAAAATAAAACTGTAGGATAAACCAGAAGGCTAGAAACACAAAATACTGAATGATCAAGTCAAAATAGAATCCTCACTTTGCTTAGTGACCAAACCTGATTCAGAATAAAGCAATTATGCAAGGTATAAGAACATCAGGTGAAAATGCCTCTAAATAAATAAAACGCAGCATTTGTTTCACAAATATTTGAAATTTCAATATAATAGAACACAAATTAAAATGGCTTCATTACAGAAATTATAGCCTTAAGTTTGCCTTTTTGTAAAAAAAAAAAAGAATAATTATATTCTATCTTTAAATAGATTGTAAACACCACAAGCAGGGTGTGTGTGTGTGTGTGTGTGTGTGTGTTATTCACTAATGTATGTCCGGCATATAGAAGGTGTACAATAAATAGTTGTTGGATAGATTTTATAAAAGAGTTTCCTGTATATAATCTCATATGATTTCACCTGATCCAGCAGTCTTAATGTATAGTAGACACTAGTCATATGTATTAGCCCATAGGCACAGACTAAAGAGTGCAGTACCCATCTGTGTCTGTCTACTTGATAGACACCAAATCTCTCAGTATTCATTGGATGGTGATGCCTTCTGCAAAGATTTGGTCAGACTCAATTCAGCCCCCTCCATTCACTACCGCAACACCATATTTTATTTTATTTTTACTTATTTATTTTTGTTTCTATTTTTTTAGAGACAGGGTCTTACTCTGTCACCCAGGTTGGAGTGCAGTGGCACCATCATAGCTCACTGCCATCTCGAACTCCTGAGCTCAAGCCTCAGGCCTCCCAGAGTGTGAGCCACCACTCTCAGCTCATACTTTATTTTCTTAATAATTTTTACAATTAGAAGAAATTATATTATTCAGCTACACATTTACTCGTTTATTGTTTCTCCCATCCCACTAAAATGTAACTTCCATGAACAAAGGGTCCTTGTCTGTCTTAGACCCTAAGGAAGTACCTCATACCCAGTAGACACTGCAAGATTTCTATGTATAAATGAATCAGTGGGTCAGCCATCTACTTGGAATTATTTGTCTGGATTATCTTTTGTTCAATTATTCTCTCTCTTTGCATACTTTACTTGAGTGGCACAACTGTTTGTCTGTTTTTGTTTGTATGCTTGTGGCTTTTCTTTTTCTCTCTTTCCTCCCCCGTGATGTGGATTTCCTCCTTGGTGCACGGGTGAGGCACCCTCGAAGACCTAGCAGGATCATGGTAGAATCTAAGAAAAAACAACCGTGAATTCAATGGCTTAAGCTAGCTCTTCTCTATTATCTCAAAAAAGGTATGTTGTTTCTACCTTGTATTCATCTTCATGTTTCCTCTAATCTCATCAGAGAGGTAAGACCACAGGAGTCAAGAATAAGGAAATATGTGCCACATTTTCTTTATCCAGTCTATCATTGATGGATATTTGGGTTGGTTCCAAGTCTTTGCTGTTGTGAATAGTACCCCAATAAACACATATGTGCATGTGTCTTTATAGAATGATATATAATCCTTTGGGCATATAGCCAGTAATGGGATTACCAGGTCAAATGGTATTTCTAGTTCTAGATCCTTGAGGAATCCCCACACTGTCTTCCGCAATGGTTGAACTAATTTACACTCCTACCAACAGTGTAAAAGCATTCCTATTTCTCCACATACACCATGGAATACTGTACAGCCATAAAAAAGGATGAGTTCATACCCTTTGCAGGAACATGGATGAATCTGGAAACCATCATTCTCAGCAAACTAACACAAGAACAGAAAACCAAACACCGCCATGTTCTCACTTACAAGTGGGAGTTGAACAATGAGAACACATGGACACAGGGAGGGGAACATCACACACCAAGGCCTGTGGGGGGATGGGGGGCAAGGGGAGGGAGAGCATTAGGAGAAATACCTAATGTAGGGGACGGGTTGATGGGTGCAGCAAACCACCACAGCACGTGTATACCTATGTAAAAAAACTGCACGAAATAAGGAGGCCAGTGGGCACATCTAAGCCTTCAGCTAGGCAAGAAAATGACCTTTGGAGTCTCACATTCATTCTGTTCCTTCTGTTTACCATAATAAGATACAGCACAGGGTTGTTTTTTTTTTTTTTTTTTTTTTTTGAGTCGGAGTCTCGCTCTCTTGCCCAGGCTGCAGTGCAGTAGCACAATCTCAGCTCACTGCAACCTCCACCTCCCAGGTTCAAGCAATTCTCCTGCCTCAGACTCCCAAAGAGCTGGGATTATGGGCACATGCCACCATGCCCAGCTATTTTTTTGTATTTTTAGTAGAGATGGGATTTCACCATATTGGCCAGGCTGGTCTTGAACTCCTGGTCTCAAGCGATCTGCCCTCCTTGGCCTCCCAAAGTACCGGGATTACAGGTGTGAGCCACTGTGCCCAGCCAACACAGGGTAACACGGTCAAATCCTCAGCAGGCAATACTAGCATGTACGTTTGCCTTAACTGTCCTTTGCATCACAGTTATTCCTTGGCAACCCATGTGACAAAAAGCAGCTGGCAAGTTATTCAAATCTCTGCATTACACAGTCACCTATCAAAACTAACAGCACAGACATTACAGATGAGGAAACAGCCTCAGAGTAGTCATGAGACAGGACTGCTCTTCCCCCTACATCCTGTTTCAATTACTTTTCACTCACTGAGAATGTGAAAAATAAAATGAATGTTGTAATACACATTTTCATTATTATTTATTCCTTGGTTGGGTGGCAAACTGTTAAGGTAAATTGATTGTAAGACCACCAGGCAATGCTAAAGACATAAACCAGCCTTAACATTTAAATAATAGGAACATCCTATGACCACTTCGACTCATTGATTTGTCATGTTCACTTATTGCTTCTTTTTCTCCTTCCAGGCAATTTTCTGGAAAGACTGAAAAGTTTTTGTTCTCATTTTCTTCAATATGGCAGTAATCCTAAATCTTAAAGCAATAAAAATAGCCATTATAAATTCAAGGAAAGAGTTGGAATATTTTTTTATAAAAATCTGACTATGTCCTCTCACTCAAGTCACTTAAGGAGTTATTTGTACAGCTCCTGCTGCTATTCAAAGTAGCCAGAGCTCTAATTCAAGTAATATCCTTTCTTCTTCAATTCCGCATACTTCCTCACCCCTGTGGGTCAGCACTTTGTTCAGTATTTGTGACTGGATTACTGGTCTTTCCCCAACAACCACTATTTTTCTTCCATTTCTGGGTTTCTTCTCTTCTCACGTTATGAAAGCCATACTTTTGTACTTAGCTTTTACACTTTCGAGAACATTCGGTCTTTAAAAGCAAGAACACTGTCTTAGCTATCTTTTGATCTCCAACAGTGATTGTCTTTACAAATGGAAGCAATGGTGAATATGCAATGATTATCCTTTCCTCTTTGCTCCACTCATCCCCAATAATTTAATATGTTTGTGATAATTAGATTTGCATTGAAAATGGAAATTTAGAGAAAACTTTAGGCTAATAATGGACATTGTCCTCTAATTGGACATTAGCTGTAACAAGTCTAGGCTAGATCCTAAGGAATTAACCAAACACCCTAAGCACTTTCATCTTCAATCCTATTACATTTAAATGGGTATCTAGGTCTTTTGAAATTTTAATCACCTAGAAAGCTGCTGTTAGTTTCCTAGAGCCTGCTGGGTGAAATTATTATCCCACAGCATTTGTACTGCAAGTCCTAGACACTCTTGGAGAAATAGCACCACATAACTTTCTCTTCCCTTACAGTCAAAAGTGGTAAAATCTCCAAAGAGATGACTCAAAGCCTGGTCAAGGAACTATATCAGTAAACACAGTAATCACATGAGTTTGTCAAGATGAAAAATTGGCTCCTTATGTGAAACCAAACAGCTTTTTTTTCTGTGTCACCATTCCAGGCGAAAAAGAGAATGATAGCTTTGTACAGGGTGGGTAGAGAGGGTCTTGTTCTGGGTTCTGATATATAGGCTTAAAATTTAAGGGGAGGAATTTAGTTTTGGCAGGAAAAAGTTCTCAACTGTAACAGTTATTTGACACTGGAATGTAATATAAAAGAAAATCACAGGTTGCTTCCATAAGATTTTAGATTTTTAAATGTTGTACTGAATCCTCTGAGGGCTACTAGGAGCAAAGAAATAGCATCTTAAAGAAGAGACCTGTGATTCTATAAATGTATTTAAATATAATGAAGAGTTTGCTAACACTAGTGATTTTCAAAGAGTGGAACAAGTAATTGGAAAAGTAAAGAATATCATTCTAAAGGTTTAAACACAAAAAGATGTATACTTCAATTAGACATGGTTTCTAAAATTAATTCAGTATTCAAAAATGTAATCCCAAACGTAAGTATCTCTGGAGTCAACAACATCAATTAACACTTTACACTCACAGAATACCTGGCACTAAGTAAAACATTCCCAAAATAAAGTGTTTGCCCTCTCTGCATTCACATTCGGCACGGGATGGTACAACCTGAATATTACAAAGAGTCAGTCTGAATCCATTTTAAAGTTTGAATTATAAATCAGTTGTAGAGTCAGAATTATACAACTTTAGGGGAGAAACATGAGTCACCACGGTTGTAAATCAGAATTATACAACTTCTGGGGAGAAACATTGGTCACTATCTCATAAAACTAAGATTCTTTTTTTCTCATTTTTGTTTTTTAAATAGCTGTCTTCTTTTTAAGAAGAAAAAAAACCATACACTCATTAACTTTCTCAATATCTGTCATGGTCACATTTTAAGAGATGGAGAAAAACAATCCAAATCATTTAGCGTACCACAAGTGAATTAATCCACCTTTCTCAGAGATAGTTGGGATATTTTCATCCCAGTGTTACTAATCAATTACAAAGCCTACTCTGGAGAGGAAAGACTCTAATTTAAATGCAAGCAGCATGTGAAGCTCTTCTTTTTTATTATTATTTCAAGTAAATTGTTTCATTAAAAACCTCAGGAAGGAGATGGCTTCCTGTGCTTGTACAGAGAAAAGTGCCCGGGACAGATAAATAAGTCAGCAGAGCCCAAATTAACTTGCTTCATTATCTCATCCACTCACCTACACAGAAGAATCTACCTTTCTGGATCTCTCCCTTCCTCCGCGCTCTCTCCCCACGTCATTGCTTCCCATCCGGGAGAAAAGACTAGAGAACAAGTTTCAGTTCACTCTCTCTGAACACTTCCCTGGAGACGGCTCTAACTTTGACTATTATGCACTTCAAATGTTATGCAGCAGCAGCTGCCGGGCATCACGTCGGGGCAATATTTAAATATTATGCCTACCAGCTGTGTTTTCTTAAATAGTACCTTTAAACGTCAGTGGCTGTGTTTGTGATAGACTCTACAAGGCATGGAATATGCATTGCAAAATCATTTTCTCCTCTAGAGATTTAACAGTTCCAAAAATGTCTTTACATCGGTAAGAAAAGTTTGCCTTTCTTCAACGCTTCCCCCCTTATATAACTGAGTTAATGAGTGTTCCTTGCTTGCAGCTATCTTTCCAAAGGCAGGCACCAAATATGAAAAAACATTCATCAGTGAAACTTTAAGCAAGAGAATAAGCCAATGCATTGAAACCTGGGTAATGGGTTCCGGATGACTGAAGTTGAACAAGAGTCGCAGTCAGGACTGGGGGCCATTATGATAACTATAAATAGAAGTAAGGTTAGCGCTACTGGCTCTTTGATCATTTTTCAGTCTATAGCTCACAAACTCCTGTCGTTAAAAATTCTAAGAATTACTATGCAATTGAGCAGGCAATGAATGTTTTTTAATACACAGGTTTTTTTTGTAGAATGTGTATACCTGAACCACTCTTTTTAGGTAATCCTGGAAACTGTATGCAAAAAAAAAATTTTAAACCGAAATTAGAAAATATTATCACAAAATAGTGGCTCGTGTACAGGATTCTCTGAATCCAAATGATCCCAAACCACATCACAAAACAGTTAAATTAGTGTAAAAATTTATGTAGGAAGACAGATTGTTATTTCCACACTGTAATAGACAGAGTGACTCATTCCCCTAAGGGTAAGCATGCATCCTGCTACATTTTTCAAATGTTATAAAGGTAACTTATCTCTAGTCCATATTGTCTCCAAAAGTAACAGTCAGGGTAGCAATACTGCAGATAAGCAAGAATAGGACAATTGGACAAGACCAGGGGCTTAAGTCTTGTCACCTGTTATCTAGAATTGGTCTGGCTTTGACGTATTAAATTCTCATTCTACCACATCTTTTAATTTCTAGGTCTACTGCCTCCTCTATTTTCTTGGATCCTTTTCAAACCCATCCTGCCTTCATATTCTATACTAATTACTTAGATTCTATTATCCATCATGCATCACTTTGTTCACACTTTGTCAATATTTTCAACTTTTTTGAGCCAGTGTTCTTCCTTCTCTCCAAAGTTTCTATTACTTGTTAAATTAGAGAGATACTAGAACAAGCTAGTGATTACTTAAAACATGAATATTTCATGTTTATTCAATCTTTCCATAACCCTTGTTTAGAATACACTTTAGCCACTCCAGAATTTTGCAATTCTTCTGTACCCTGAGAATATACATTTGCATTTTTACCTTTTTTTCAATTTTCTCTTTGCTGGCAGTTAAAGATTAATTTTTCTCTTTGCTCTAATAGCCTTGTGCGTTTGATGTTGGTGGCTAATAAATTCATAATGCTAATGATCTTAGACATATCTAAGTATCTTTTGGTCTTCAAAGTGCTAATAATTGAACTTCCAACACGGTTAAGTGTAGAGGATACACCCTCAGGCTCTGACAGCAGTTCCAAATATCATCAGACAACTGAGAACTCTTGTGCTGAGTGACCTGGGATTTCTTAAGCAGATTCAACTGAACCTTACAATATTTAAGGGACACCCAGAAAGACGATAATTCCGCTACAGGAAGCGGGAATGCCAACAATCATAAATTGGCAACATAATGCAGAAAAGGACAGCTGAGTTTTTGCTAATGCCAAGGCAGAAGCAGTAGAGGGTTGACTGACACTAAGAAGATTATCTCTGGATTTTCAATACAGCAGGCAAATGAATACTGCAGATAAACACACTATCAACTTTATTCTTACAACCCTGATATTGACTTTAATCTTGACCTTGGAATGGCTTCTCTGTACACACAAAGCCTGTTTGAAATGACATTTTTTTAAGGTGAAACAATAATTTATCTAGTGATGAACTTGTATTTAGATGTTTACAGCTGGCCAGCCAACTAAGTGCTTTACATACATCTTGTCTGATTTAATCCTTACAACAACATGATGAGCTCACTATGAACTCCCATAATTTACAGACAGGGAAACTGAGGCTTGGTGCAGAATCAATCCAATATCAGGGCCTGAGCAATTATATCCCATTCCTAGACTGCACCCCAGTAGTTTGTGTTTCAGTATTCTGGCTTCCTATAGTTAACAATCTGGACAATTACCGATAATTATAAAAAACAAGGGCTGATAATTATAAAAAGCAGGTACTAAAAACAGTGCAGAGCAAATGACAGTGGGTAATTGACAGGATTCAGGGTATAAGAAAAAAGAAAAGCACAATTCACCGCAAGTTCTAGCCTTCTCTATGGGAAAAGCAGGCCACTGACTATGTAGTGATCTTTACGACCTTGAAGCTTTCTTTAGCCAGAAATTGAAGGTCTTTGTCTCCAGTCTTCTTTAGAGCCAGGCATTCTTATCCTTAACTACTTTAGGGGCTTTTTTAAGGACACATGTATATTAACTAGGCTGTTACGTTTCCTAGGAAGCGGAACACATTAATTAAGTGAAGGAATTATTTCATCTACTCCAGATCATTACTATCTCTTTTTCGTTTTTTTTTTTTTTTTTTTTGAGATAGAGTCTCACTCTGTTGTCCAGGCTGGAGTGCAGTGGCACAATCTCGGCTAACTGCAACCTCCGCCTCCAAGGTTCAGGCAATTCTCCTGCCTCAGTCTCCCGAGCAGCTGGGATTACAGGCCTGTGCCACCAAGCCCAGCTAATATTTGTATTTTTAGTAGAGAAGGGGTTTCACCATGTTGGCTAGGCTGCTCTCGAACTCCTGACCTCAAGTGATCCACCTGCCTCGGCCTCCCAAAGTGCTGGGATTACAGGCACGAGCCACCATGCCCGTCCATCTCTTTTCAATTAATAGACACACACATATAAAGATTTCTGTGAAGAGACGTTTTACACTTCACTTATTCAAGTCCTAGATCCGTTCCCATCACTTCAGTAAAGCTCTTTTGCCAAGGTGACCTGGTGGTTATTTTTAGTTCTTATCTTATTCTCTACAGTATTCTCCATTCGACATCTTTCTCCATTTGAAGTAGTCCCTTTCTTTGGATATGAGCGCATTACTCTCTCCTCCTTTCCTTGTTCTCTGACTCTCACAGCTCCCTCTCTCTGCAAGCTACTATTCTTTTACCGATCCATCAAGTGCTGGAGTTTCTAGGGGCTCTGTTCCAAGCGTCTTCTCTTCACACTCTACATATTCAGTCTGGGCACCTCACTCACTCATGCAGTTTCAGTTTCCATATTTATGCAGACAACCCTGAAATCTCTATCTTCAGCTCAGAATTCTACACAGAAGTTCAGGCCTATATATCAAAATGTATACCAGCTCTCTTAGACACCCTGCAGACACCTTACATTCCATAATTCGCAAAATCCAGTTGTCTTTCTCCAACTGAAAAACCTGTTCATTTTCTGTATCTCAGTAACCTGAGTGTCACAGTCCTCATCCCCCATATCCTATCAACCACCATCTCCTGTATATTCTACGTATTAAGCACATCATTACCCTCTGTCCTCCTTATCGCTCATTTAATGCCAGATGCCATCTCTCCTCTGGATTATACAACCAACTACAGAAGGTCTTCATGCTTCTTGGTCCCATAGATAGGACCTGCCATGTTGCCCAGGCTGGTCTCAAACTCCCGACCACGAGCAATCCTCCCACCTCAACCTCCCACAGCGCTGGGATTACAGGCATAAGCCTCCTCACCTGGCTTCACTCTACTATTAATAACCTCAAATTTGCATGCTGCTCTTTACTGCTATTAATAAGCATTAAAGGCTTGCAGTTGGTGTCTTCTCAGAAGGCTCTTCTTCTACTTCTTAGAAATAGAATAACAAATTCTACATTGCCTTCTATTTTCAAGTTAGATGCTACATCCATAGCAAAGTTTCTTCTAACTCCAGGATCTGGCTAGCCTACTCCCGCTGTGTGCTGCCAACATTCCTAATGTGTCTGGAATTGGTGGGTTCTTGGTTTCACTGACTTCAAGAATGAAGCCACAGACCCTCGTGGTGAGTGTTACAGTTCTTAAAGGTGATGTGTCCGGAGTTTGCTCCTTCTGATGTTCAGGCATGTTCAGCGTTTCTTCCTTCTGGTGGGTTCGTGGTCTCGCTGGCTTCGGGAGTGAACCTGCAGACCTTCACAGTGAGTGTCACAGCTCTTAAGGCAGCACGTCTGGAGCTGTTCATTCCTCCCATCCGGAGTTGTTCACTCCTCCCGGGGGGTTTGTGGTCTTGCTGGCCTCAGGAGTGAAACTGCAGACCTTGGCGGTGAGTGTTACAGCTCATAAAATCAGTGCAGACCCCAAGCGTGAGCAGCAGCAAGATTTATTGCAAACACCGAAAGAACAGAGCTCCCACGGTGGGGAAGGGGACCTGAGCAGGTTGCCACTGCTGGCTTGGGCAGCCTGCTTTTATTCCCTCATCTGGCCCCACCCACATTCTGCTGATTGGTCCATTTTACAGAGAGCTGATTGGTCCATTTTACAGAGAGCTGATTGGTCCATTTTGACAGGGTGCTGATTGGTGTGTTTACAATCCCTGAGCTAGACACAAAAGTTCTCCAAGTCCCCACTAGATTAGCTAGACACAGAGCACTGAATGGTGCATTCACAAACCCTGAGCTAGACACAGGGTGCTGATTGGTGCATTTACAAACCTTGAGCTAGACACAGAGTGCTGATTGCTGCATTCACAATCCCTTGGCTAGACATAAAGGTTCTCCAAGTCCCCACCAGATCAGCTAGACACAGAGCACTGATTGGTGCATTTACAAACCTTGAGCTAGACACAGAGTGCTGATTGGTGTATTTACAATCCCTTAGCTAGACCTAAAGGTTCTCCAAGTCCCCACTAGACTCAGGAGCCCAGCTGGCTTCACCTAGTGGATCCCACACCAGGGCTGCAGGAGGAGCTGCCCCCTAGTCCCACGCCCTGCGCCCACACTCCTCAGCCCTTGGGCGGTCGATGGGATGGGGCGCCATGGAGCAGGGGGCGGTGCTCCTCAAGGAGGCTCCAGCTGCACAGGAGCCCACCATGGCCGGGAGGCTCAGGCATGGTGGGCTGCAGGTCCTGAACCCTGCCCCACGGGGAGGCAGCTGAGGCCCAGGGCCAGCACTGCTGGGGGACCCGGTGCACCCTTCGCAGCTGCTGGCCTGGGTGCTAAGCCCCTCACTGCCTGGGCCGGCGGCAGCCAGCTGCTCCCAGTGTGGGCCGCCGAGCCCACACCCACCTGGAACTCGAGCTGGCCTGCAAGGGCTGCGCAGCCCCGGTTCCCACCCATGCTTCTCCCTCCACACCTCCCTGCAAGCTGAGGGAGCCAGCTCCGGCCTTGGCCAGCCCAGAGAGGGGCTCCCTCAGTGCAGCGGTGGGCTGAAGGTCTCCTCAAGCGCCGCCAGAGTGGGCGCCAAGGCCGAAGAGGTGCTGAGAACCAGCGAGGGCTGCCAGCACGCTGTCACCTCTCACTAATACTTATTCCTCTCCATGTAGTACCTTAATTGCTTAATGCTACATGAATGAGAGGAATGAATGAGATGCTAGTGCTGTAAATTTTCAACATTTAAAGTACTTAAGACAGAGAAGTGACTAGATGATATGGTGGATAGGGGAGTTATACTGAAGCTGCATTTAAATAGCAGGCGTAATGTTTCTGCTTCTATTTATTGTTTATTTGGTATGATTTGGAGGGGTTCATTATTACTATGAGAGTAAATTGGGTCTATGAGGGTCTAAAATTTCTCACAAGCCACCCATTAGTATCACTAATGAAATAAACCAGTGGTTTGCAAACATTTTTCATTTAAGCTTCTATCAGTAAATAATATGAGCATGTACCTTTAATGTGTGGATTTTATAATTTATAGATTATACACATGTACTTATATATAATATACCTTTTAAACATTCTCAGAAACAAAGTTTTAAAAAATTTTAAGATAAATGGAGATTCTAAATTTTTCTATACCTTGGTCGACCATCTATTGATTTCTGTTTAAAGATCATCTTTACAAATGGTTTGTTTTTCATTTCTGTGGGTACATGGTAGGTGTATATATTTATGCGGTACAGGAGATATCCTGATACAAGCATGCAATGCATAATAATCACATCAGGGTAAATGGGGTACCCATCCCCTCAAGCATTTGTCCTTTGTGTTACAATCCAGTTGTACACTTTTAGTTGTTTTTAAAGTACAATTAAATTATTACTGACTATAGTCACCCTGGTGTGCTATCAAATACTAGGTCTTATTCATTAAAAATGGGTTTTGAAGACAGGAAATGTATTAGGTTGGTTAGCTGCTATAACAACATCAAAGATGGGTCTAGCACAGAGCTCAGGATATAGTAAGCACCCAGTAGTTATCAAGCGATTGAAAGACAGAAAGTTTGCGCTAAAGAGTAGAGTAGCTTATGGAATGCGGTCTAACCACCAGTGGGATGCATGAACACTCACAAGATAACTCCTTCAAGGAAAATTTCTCAAAAACATATAAGAAAAAGTGCTT
This sequence comes from Homo sapiens, assembly GCF_000001405.40. Lineage (NCBI taxonomy): Eukaryota > Metazoa > Chordata > Mammalia > Primates > Hominidae > Homo > Homo sapiens. Next base: position 16,762,104 of record NC_000008.11, read on the forward strand.
GCTCGCCAAGATGGAAAAGACAACCATACATAGACAAACACTCCATCATTTCCTTTTAAATCTAAGCAGCTTTTTGATGGGTTTTGTAAAACTAATTTCAAACATTTTCAACGACTCTCAAAATAGTTGTGACTATTAATAAGGTTTGAGGGAGAGAGATAAGAATAGATTCATTTTCATAAGCAAAATTATCACTGTATTTGTGAATACTATTTTACTTCAAATATTTTCCTTGAAGATTTCTATCTTAAGTGGTTTTTAGAACTAAGCTATGCCAAAATTCTGCATCTGTGATGTCAGAAAATATTACCCATTGTTCTGGCCACATAAGGGCAAAGTACAATTTCAAAGACATACTGAAAATGGTGGCCAAGGTTTCACAGTTTGTCAGAAGTTAGCTGGAAAAAGAAAAAAACATTATTGCCAGCCACAGTGGCTCATGACTGTAGTTTCAGCACTTTGGGAGGCCAAGGCGAGAGGATCGTTTGAGGCCAGGAGTTCAAGACCAGCCTGGGCAACATAGCAAGACCCTGTCTCTCCAAAACCAAACAAACAAACAAAAAACGTTTTAAAATTATCTGGACATGGTAACATGTACCTGCAGTCCCAGCTACTTTGGAGACTGAGGCAGGAGGACCACTTGAGCCCAGGAGTTCAAGGCTGCGGTGAGTCACGATCATGCCACCCAGCCTGGGTGACAGAGTGAGACCCTGCCTCTAAAAGAAATAATCATTCTTTTTTGTATGCACTTCACCTCCCAATAATAGTATTTAATTCCTCAAGATAAGCAAACAACATGGTGTTCATACGCCTTGAGAGAAAGGACTGTAACTAAGAGAGTCTCGTCGAGTTCAGAGAGTGGTAGATTGTAAGAGTTAAAGGAATTTTTACAGGTCACAGGCAAACACAAGTGCTATAGCTTGAATTCTGAGGCTTTGATTTAGACGCATTTGGCTGTTTTTCTCAAGGTGACAGAAAAAAAAAGTCATGCATTCCTACTCTTTTCTGATTCTTGAAGACAAAACCTGGCCTGGCCTGGGAAGCTGAAATATCTGATGAGTTTGATTTCTTCCCTACAAAATGTTCATGAAACATTTGATCTTCTGATTCATTCTATTCGTTTTTAATAGCTTTAAACATACAATAAGTTTTAGGTGTACAATTCATTGGCTGCTAGGAAGTGTACAGAGCTGTGCAACCATCACTACAATCCAATTTTAAAACATCTCCATCACTCCAGAAAGGAACGCCATGTCTGTCTGCAGGCACTCCTTATGACCACTGCAACTCCCAGGTTACCATTAATCTACTTTCTGTCACTATCAATTTACCTTTTCTGGACTTTTCCTTTAAGTGGAATTCTACAATATGTGGTCTTTTGTGTCTGGCTGATTCTACTTAGCACCATGTTTCTGAGGTTCATAGATGCAGCAGCGTGTGTCAGTACTCCATGCCTTTCCATTGGCCAATAGTATTGTGTTGTGTGGTTATACAATTTTTTGTTTCTCTACTCATCAGCTAATGGACATTTGAGTTCTTTCCATTTTCTGGCTAATATAAATAAAACTGTGAATGAACATTTACATACAAGTCTTCGTGTGAATATATAATTTTATTTTTCTTAGGTAGCTAGAATTGAAATTGCTGGGTCCTATGGTATATTTACATTTAACATTTTAAGACACTGCCAAACTTTTCCCAAGCAGCTACACCATCATTCTACCTTAAATTTCCTGAGTACCAGGTAAATGATAATCGTGGTGTTTTGAACAGGACTACATTTGCTAACCAAAATAGAACATAAATTTCTGCCAGCTCTTAGCTCTTACCAGTTAATATACTTCCATCATTCTATCATTTCATATTATCCCATCTATTGCTAAAGTGATATAATCTGATAAGCAAAATTGATCTGTAGAGACGCTAAAATTAAATGCTAGTTACTTGGAACTATTTGGAGATTCAAATTCAAATGGGCCATTAAAAGTTACCTTTCTTTTTTTTGTAAATCTGCTTAAAAAACCCCAGAAGCATTCATATCACTCCTACATTTCTTCCGAAAATTTCCATCAACATGGTAAAGAGATCGAGACTAATAAGTACAATTATATGACACAGAGATCCTTCAGCAAGCCATCTCTGTAAAGAGGCATAAGGGAGTCCATCGATCTAGTCTTTAGAGCAGAGTGACATTTCTGTGAAAAACAATATTTTATGTCAGACTGTTGCTTGAGTAGTCCATGAAGGATAAAGAAACAAGGAAACTAAACACTGTTCACAGATCAACAAATGTCTTTTCTCCTCAAGTGAATTCTGCATTGTCAAACTCAGCAAAGCCAAGATATAACCATGACGTTAAACAGAGTTCTTAATTCAGCTTTTCACAAAGAGAGAAATCTAAATTTCACTTATATTTTTTTAAAAGAAAATCTACATTGAATGGAAGAGCAAGGCCTCCACCTAGTGGATAGTTCGAAAATTTTGTTTTTTACAGTCTCATTTGGCATTTATATGGTAAAATGTCATAATGGATATATAGAGTGAACGACAAAACAGAAATGTCGCTAATTAGCTCTCACTTACTAACGAAGCCAGTTAAAACTTGAAAATAATTTCACAATCTTTCAGGGAGACAGGGAAAGGTACAGTCACCAATAATACATTTAGAAATAAATGTAGGCAATAAAAGAAAGTGAGACGAGGCAAACTTTTAAAGGTATGAAGAACATTTAGCTAGACGATTAAAAATTTGTGTGTATAAAAAATCCTCAAGACCACATGAATTACCATATTGATGTTCCTCAGTTTCAGGCAATCAATGGGGTTATTTTCCACCATCAGCTCTGTAGATAGCACAGATTTTTCTTCTTTTTTTTTTCAGACAGACTCTTGCTCTGTTGCCCAGTCTAGAGTGAGCAAGCAGCCTCTCACTAGAGTTCACTGCAGCCTGGAGTTCCTGGGGTCAAGTAATCCTCCTGCCTCAGCCCGCCAGAGCGCTGGTATTACAGATGTGAACCACTGCATCTGGCCAACTGTTCTTTTAAATCATGTCACTTTACAAAGCAATTATAGGAATCTTATAACCATATATAATAATTTCCAAATTGTATGGCTACTATAAGTTGATTAAAAGTCTAGAGAACAACAGATTTGAGGCTTATAATTGTACTGTAATGCATGCTTTATTCATTAGGATCTCAGCACGTAGGCAGACATTAAACAAAACTTATGCTAACATTTGAGGACTCACTGTATTCTAGGCACTGGTAAGGGCTTGATATAAATTATCTTCTATAATCCCCAAAACAATCCTATTCTTCCCCCTTGGTACGGATGAAGAAATTGTGCCTTCACCACAGAAATAGCAGAGCTGGAATTTGTTCCAGGAAGTCAGACTCCAGAGGCCACGTTCTTAAGCTCTGAATGAAAACAGAAAAAAGCACAATAAAAAGTGAACGCACATTGAGAAATGTGCGTTCACTTTATATTGTGCTGTTTTTAAGGAGAAAGCGTATACTGTTCTAATTTATATTACTTATTTGCTAATTTTCAAGAAATTTCAAACTTCCCATTTCAGTGTTAGAACTGAAGTGAGAATCAGAAGCCCTGAGCTCTTTTTCCGTCTCTACCGCCCCTTTGACATCAGACCAGTTTTTGACCTTTCTAATAAAATGACCTGTATCCTTGTGATATGGTTTGGCTCTGTATCCCCACCCAAATCACATCTTGTATCTCCCAAATTCCCATGTGTTGTGGGAGGAACCCTGTGGGAGATAATGGAATCATGGGGGCGGGTCTTTCCCGTGCTGTTCTCCTGATGGTGAATAAGTCTCACGAGATCTGATGGCTTTAAAAACGGGAATTTTCCTGTGCAAGCTCTCTTCTCTTGTCTGCCACCACGTGAGACATGCCTTTCACCTTCCGCCATGATTGTGAGGCCTCCCCAGCCACGTGGAACTCTAAGTCCATTAAACCTCTTTCTTTTTTAAAGTGCCCAGCCCGGGGTATGTCTTTATCAGCAGCGTGAAAACAGACCTTGTCTAGTGCTCTTGGTATTGAAGCCTTGTGGTGCTGTATTGAAGTCAATGGGGATATAATAGGTCATCCCTAAGTGGATATGTTCCTCATGCCCACTGCAAGGCAACCATAACAGAGTATAAAACATGAGCCCAAACTTCCATGTATAAAAAAAGTGCACTTGAGAGAGCATGAAGATCATTTGGTTCAACATCCCTGTCTCTGTATTTCCTTTGCCTTATAATATCGTTGACTAGGACTCAGTGATTCCCCACAGCGGTGCTTTTAGCCTTTGACGCAATTCTTGGTTGTTGAGGATTATCCCATGATTGGAAGATAGTTAACATCTTTGGCCCCACCTTCAAAATGCTACTAGAGCGCTGCACATTTTCAAACACATACCTAGGAAAAAACAGTAAAACCTTTCGTCAAAAACCATGCGAAAACTCCTAGAATCTTTATCTCTCACTCAGCCCAGAGATTGTCAACAATAGAGAAACATCACGGAAGACAAAAAACCCACAGGCACTTTGAGTCCACCAGTCAACAGCCTATACTGATTGCTGGTGGGGTTCCCTGTATCCAGCGAGGAAGACAGAATGCAAAGCCAAGAAAGGTACATGAAATGTGTGGTAGTGGTTCCTCTTGTGATCAAGCAGCTTTAGAGATTGGCATTGAAAATATAGAACTATGATTTATGATCTTCAACATGAAAATGATCATTGATGCGACACAGAAAAATACAAAACAGGATTGACGGCCACAATGTGTATATGTGTTGTGAGTGTAAAGGGTAGAATATTTCAGACTCTCTGTGTTAACCAAAAATAAAATTATTTTCTTGTTTTTCTGTAACTCAACCTCAATTTGAACACACTATTTCACATAATAACAGAAATTTGGTCTAATCATTCAAAACAAACTCCAAGGTTTTCTCAGTCATTTCTTACGTAATCTCAATATTCTCTCTCTTTCATTCCTTTTCCATTTGTGGAGGTGAGAGGCTAATAATAGTAATAATTATAACAATAGCTAAAATATTAAGCTACTATTAACTTCTTAAGGTGCAATCCCTCCCTCACACCACTCCCTGCTTTCTCATCCCCAGACAGCTGATCTTCTTTCTATCGTGATAGATTAGTCTGCATTTTTATATGTCATTTTATATAAATTGAATCATACCATATGTACTCTTTTTGTTTGGCTTCATTCACTCAACATAATTTTTTTGAGATTCATTCATATTGTTGCTTGTATTAATAATTCATTCCTTTTTATTGTGTGAATATACCTCATTCCATTAAACAGGTAATGGAAATTTTGGTTGTTTCCAGTTTGTAACCATCACAAATAGAGTCTCTGTGAATATTAAGGTACAACCTGTTTGGTGGACATATGTTTCCACTTTCCTTCTACTCTTCCTAGAAGTGGAATGCAGGGGTCATACGGTAGGTGTTCATACATCTTTCTAAGAAAATGCCAAACTGTTTTCCAAAGTGATTTTATTATTTTACATTCACACCAGTAATGTATAAGAGTTTATAGTCCCTCCAGCAAACTAACAAGGAACAGAAAACCAAACACCACATGTTTTCACTCATAAGCGGGAGTTGAACGATGAGAACATATGGACACACGGAGGGGTACATCACACATCGGGGCCTATCAGGTGGTTGGGGGCAAGGGTAGGGAAAACATTAGGACAAATATCTAATGCATGTGGGGCTTAAAACCTAGATCATGGGTTGACAGGTGCAGCAAACCACCATGGCACATGTATACCTATGTAACAAACCTGCACGTTCTGCATATGTATCCCAGAACTTAAAGTAAAATTAAAAATAAAAAAGTTTACAGCCCCCCAATATGTAATATGCTCAGACTTTTAAAATTTCTGTCATTTCAGTGGGTGAGTAGTGATAACTCATTGTGGTGGAATTTTCATTTCCCTAGTGACTAATGATCTTAAGCCTCTTTTGATGTGTTTATCATCTGTATAACTCCTTTGATAAAACATCTGTTTGTATATCTTGCCCATTTTCTACTATGCTATTTCTTTTTATTAGACATTTTTATGTTCTAATTACAAGTTATTTATCAGATTCATGTTTGCAATATTTTTCCTGGTTTATTTGCTTAACAGAATAAACTGTTTTAGATGGTAATGCACAATATTAATTTTTTTCTCTTATGAATTGTGTTTCTGGTGTTGTATTTAAGAAATATTTTCCAAGGCCAAGACCACTAAAGTTTTCTCCTATGTTATCGTCTAGAAGTCCTATACTTTTGACATGTTTTTTTCTTTTTTTTGAGACAGAGTCTCACTCTGTCACCCAGGCTGGAGTTCAATGGTGAGATCTCGGCTCACTGCAACCTCCGCCTCCCGGATTCAAGCAATTCTCCTGCCTCAGCCTCCTTAGTAGCTGGGATTACAGGCATGCGCCACCATGCTCGGCTAATTTTTGTATTTTTAGTAGAGACAGGGTTTCACCATGTTGGCCAGGCTGGTCTCAGACTCCTGACCTCAGGTGATCTGCCCACCTCAGCCTCCCAAAGTGCTGGGATTACAGGCATGAGCCACCACACCCAGCAATTTTAGGGTTTATATTTAAGTCTATGAACCATTTCAATATAATTTTTGTTGATATTGGGAGGTAAGAGTTGAGTATTGGGTTTCTGCATGTGGCTACGTGATTGTTCCCAAACCATTTGTTGAAAAGATTATACTTTTCCCATTAAACGCATTCCACTTACCTATTTTTCTATCCTTACACCAAAATCACACTCTCTTGCTCACTGCAGATTTATATGCTAAGTTTTAAAATCAGTTAATGAAGACCTCCAACTTTCTTCTTTTTCAAAGTTGTTTTGGAATTTCTACGTCCTTTGCATTTCTATATAAATGTTAGAATAATGTTGTTAATTGCCTGAAAAAAAAGGCTTTCTAAGGATTTGGTTATCATTGTGTTACACATGTAGATCATTTGGGGGATAATTAATAATAACATTGAAACTTATGATCCAAACACTGTATATTCTCCAATTATTTAGGCCTTCTTTAAGTTATCTTAGCAATGATCGGTAGTTTTCCAAGTACGGGTCTTGAGAATCTTTCGTTAAGGGTATACGTCGTTATGCTATTTTTTTTTTTTTTTTTTTTTTTTTTTTGAGACTGAGTCTCGCTCTTTCGCCCAGGCCGGACTGCAGCGGCACTGTCTCGACTTACTGCAAGCTCTGCCTCCCGGGTTCACGCCATTCTCCTGCCTCAGCCTCCCCAGTAGCTGGGACTACAGGCGCCCGCCACCACACCCGGCTAATTTTTTGTATTTTTAGTAGAGACGGGGTTTCACCATGTTAGCCAAGATGGTCTCGATCTCCCGATCTCGTGATCCGCCTGCCTCGGCCTCCCAAAGTGCTGGGATTACAGGCGTGAGCCACCGCGCCTGACCTCCAATGCTGTTTTTAATGTACTTTTTAAATTTATATTCCTAATTGTTTGCCACCCATATATACAAATACAATTTAATTTTGTATTTATATCTTGTCATCTCTAGATATAATTGGTTTTACTTCTTCTTTTTTTATCGGCATGACTTTTGTTTGTTTTTCTTGCCTATTGCATTGGATAGAACCTCTAGTACGATAACTGAGCAAAAGCAATTAAAGCAGACATCCTTATTTTCTTTCTATCCTTAGAAGGAAAGCATTAAGTCTTTCACCATTAAGTTTGATGTTAACTGTAGGTTTCTCACAGATACCCTTTATTAAGGTTAACACAGCTTCTTTCTCTGCTAATTGTTTTTTTCAGAAATGAATGTTGGATTTTGCCAAAGCTTCTTCCACATCTACTGAGGTGATCATATGGTTCTTTTGTAATCTGTTAATGTGGTGAATTACATAGGTTGATTTTCAGTGTGAAACCAACTCTGCAGTCTTGGATGAATTCTACTGGATCATTATGTGATATCTTTTTAAAATACTGTTAGGTTTGGCGGGGCATTGTGGCTCACACCTGTAATCCCAACAGTTTGGGAGGCCAAGGTGGGTGGATCACTTGAGGCCAGGAGTCTGAGACCAGTCTGGCCAACATGGTGAAACCCCATCTCCACTAAAAATACAAAAATTAACTAGTGCCCACCTGTAATCCCAACTACTTGGGAGACTGAGGCAGAAGAATTGCTTGAATCCAGGAGGCAAAGGTTGCAACGAGCCAAGATCGCCACTGCACGCCAGCCTGGGTAACAGAGCGAGACTCTGTCTCAAAAAAAAAAAAAAAAAAAAAAAATTGTTGGGTTCAATTTACTAAACTTTTTGCAAAATTTGTGCATCCATCTTTATTTAGCCATTGGTTTGTAGTTCCCTAGAAATTTCTTTGGAAAGATTTTCTGGAAAAGGTTGTATTGAATTGGTACTATTTACTTGACATGATTAACACATATTCACATATTTTAACTCTTAATCTCCATGAAAACAGTATGAAGCAGACCATTATCATGATTTTACACAGTGATTAATTCACTTGCCCAAGGGTCATAACTTATAAATCATGGGGCCAGAATTAAAACTTTGTCAGTCTAATAAAGACGCACTACTTCACTATACTAATTTCAATTACAGTCAAAATGAAATCAATACCTTTAATATATAAGTAGTATATGTTTGGTAATCTCATTTAAGCTTCATTGTTCATAGACTGAGATCTTGGCAGAAAGAGTGGAGGACCTTTGCTAAGGATACATCTAGCTCTTTGGAAATAACAGTATCTAACAGCATGTTAAAATAGGAAACTTCTTGCCCCAGCTTTTGGTGAGGTCCCCAAAGGCTCAGAAACAAAATTAAAGGTTCAAATTTGCAAAAATGATGTTTAAAAACTGTTTTTATGAGCCTTAGTTAACAATCAGTCAAGGGTTGGTAGTAGAAGAGGCTGAAATATGTGAAAGCTGGATAATTGAGGCATTCTCCCACCTACTCCTCTTTGCCATAAGTCTAAAAAGAGGAGATTCGAGAAGACCACCTGTAGAGCTACCTATTGTGTGAGAAGCAAAGAAGCTGGTGTCTGACTCAAGGCTGACTAGAGCAAATGCAAAAATCCATGCTGTGAGCTGCTTGCAATGTCAGGACAAGAAAAGCACAGCAAAGAAGGCAGCTATTCTTTCATAATTTAGATGGGCAATGATGCACGAGTTGCCTGAGAGAAAAATGGATGATCAAGAAGAAGTTCAACAGGTCAAAGTCCCCTGAAGAGCTCATTCCCAAAAAATAAAAATAAGAAACAAAACAAACAGCCAGGGTAAGGGGACCTCAGCAAAAAGAAGCTATGGGTGGTACCTTTGGGTATTGATGCCTGTTGTGAGACCTCGATTCTTTTCTTCTTAGTTTGAAATAATTTACACAAGCAACACACAGGAAAAGAGATGCAACATAGAGTAATTTATTGCAAAGGAAAAAAAATATTTTGAAAGTTAAGTGCAGAATAGGCAATACACACTGAGAGGGGAGTCAGAGTGACCTGCCCGTGAGGATGAGACAGCAAAGACTGGCACTAGGGAGACTCCCTTTATGGGAATCTTACGTAATCATCCATGAGCAAGTGGGAAGAGGTGTCTGGGTGGCCCTCTGGGCACACATGCACAGTAGCTGTACATGCCTGTTCATATGTCACGTGTCTCATTAGCATCTTAAATCTCCACCCAGGGTGTGTGTTTTTTAGTATTATAGTGAGCACAGGGTCAGTCTGAGGACAGATAAAATCAAAGTGCACATGCTCCCTACCGGGGAAATTCCCTACTGGAGATAGCTTTGCTTGAATAAGCTGGACTACAGTGCAAATGTGGGGGGTTATTGTTTTGACTGTATGGTCACCATGATGGATGCATCCCAAGGACATGGCTATTTCCATGACTACCTATCCTGCCCCACAGAGGCTCTGAGGATGAATCACAAGAAGTTAGCTGGAGAGTGAATCTCCCACATGAGAGGATTGGAGCAGAGGGCAGCCAAGAATTCACCCTGCAAAAAAAAACCTATTTGAACATCCATCATTCTCAAAGAAAAAAAAACAATGGTATATCTACTACGTATGCTTCATTTAAAAATTTTGAATTATTATCCATAAGTATGACTGGTCATAGGAGGGGTGTGTGTGTGTGTGTGTGTGTGTGTGTGTGTGTGTCTTTGTTAGGTTTTGATAATGCGTTTATGTTGGCTTTGTACAAGGAATTTTCTGTTGTGGCCCAAGTAATAATGTTTTCTTACAGTCTTACCATCTTAGATGAGACTTAAAGAGGCCCAGAGAACAGCCTGTGTTCTTGGTAAAACCACCTTTCCTACTCACTCTCACCTACAAACCCCTACAGCATTCTCAGTGACCACAGTAAAGTAACTTACAGGCCATTGACAAAAAGGAGTCTATTATATGGAACATATAATCACTATTCCCTCGTTGCTCCTGAGAACCCAACATTATGCCTTCATTCCATTCACCTCAACAATCCAATCTTATCAAGCACACTGCTCTACCAGATTTTTAACCTCCTAACACTTTGTACATCCACAATCTAAATCCAATACCCCACCTCTCCCAAATCCCCTATATTCCTTCTCTGAAACTCATATTCATCAGTGTAGTCTATAATATCTTCACCCTCTTTTCTGAGCATTATTCGTCCTTCTTCATGAACGCAGTCTGTCTTCTATGGACTCTGATATTCTGTAACTCTTTCAAGTAGAGGTGATTTTTTCTCCATACTATATGTGCCACCAAACCTAAAGGTAGATTAGATGTCAGACTTTTTCCTCCTTGCTACATCCAAACATCTTACCCCCTACTTCTTAAAACCCCCTTGATAATTCAGAGCACATGCCATCAGAACATGACACGCTTAATGTACTGAGAACTGTAGCACTCAGCACGTGACTTTCTTTCAACTGCTATCATCAACTTAGGTAAGTCGCTATGCCTGTAGAGTCAACACCTTGCCCCTCCAGTTTCTTGACCTTTTTGCTTTCAATAATTTTCTTCTACATCCTGCCTCTTCCACCAACAACTACATCATCTTCAATATCTGGGTTTTGATCACCCCTGTCTCTGATAATTACTTCCTCTGATGACTTCCAATTAAGTTGGAATTATGATCACTGGAATTATGGAATGGATATGGAATTATAATAATTCCAATAAGCTTCACTCCTATTACTCAAGGTAATGTCAAACTCACTGTATCTGTCAATCCACTAAGCTGGCCACTTTTTTATGCTACAACACGCATCTCACGCCCTCCCTTCCCTCCTTACCCAGCTTAGATCCCATGACCTACCATTATAATGACTACCACACATACCCTCAGCCCCTTCATCCACTTTTTCTTCTTTACACTCATCTAACAAAACATCAACCCTAACTAAATTCAATTCCAAGTACAACTCTAAGTTCTACATGTTTATTAATCTCTTAATTGATTGGATTTCTACATTAAGTACTTTTTCCAGGAAGAATCATGGATGTCGTATTCCCTAGGTCCTTGCATTTTCAAGATCATCCATCTGTAATCTTCACACCTGAACTGAAACGAGCCAGGTATAAATATTCTTATTGATATTTTCTTTCTCTCTCAACAGTCTAGATACTCTTCCACTGTCCTCTGGCACTGAAAGGTTGTGTGGAAAAGTTCTGAAACCAGTCTGATGTTTAGTTCATTGTTTAGTTCATTTTTTCCCTTGAATCCTGAATATTTAATTATCCCTAAGAATCAGTAACTTTGCCTTATGTAGATTGATATTTATGGAACATGGTGCACCTTTCCATTTTCAGATGTTAAAACTTACTAATTTCTTTATAGTGGAAAAGTTGACGGGGGGTTGTTTTCTCATTATATCTTGGAATATTTTTCGGTGTTTTTTTAAAATCCAGAAAAGGTTAATTGTTTTTTATATTGACCATGTTTTCTGTAAATTCTTTCATGCTTTATCTTTTTTCTTTGCATTATCCGAGTTATTTCCAGCCTGTTTGTCATTGGTTTAATTTTCAACAATGCCTACCTCACTATTTTTTATTAGTTCCAATATTATGTCTTTTTATACTCAATTCATTTCCCTAGTTCTCCCATACTATTCTCTGGTCTGTTATCTTTTCATCTTTGAGTTTTGGTTTTATATAGTCTATACACTTTATAATTTCTTTAAAAATGCAAAGCATTAGTTGTGAATGTTTTTCTTTTGTTTTCTAGGGCGTGTTCTCATTTAGAGTACTACGCATGAGAAGGTCATTTATTTCATTTTTTAAATAATCATAGGAACTTCTCATAGTTGTTATCCTGTCTCTTCTCATTTCACTCATATTAGACAAGGCAGCTCTTCTCTTTGCCCATGTGTGAGCTCTCCTTGAATCTCTTCTTATCTGCGATCTAAGAGTGTTGTCTTACCTTCAGATGGTCAACGTGAAGAATGGGTATTGATAGGTCACACTCACTCTGCTCTTTGTTTATCTGAGATTGAGAAGCTAGAGAGAGGAAGCTATGGGCAGTTAGGAAGAAGTTGGTCTCTTCTCTATTTTCCTATTGATTTTATAAAATCCTGTTCTGTATTTTGTTTTTTCTAGTGAAATGTTGACTTCTCTCCTTAATTCAGAGTGAGCTGCTGAATCTTCCCTCTACAAAATATCACTCATTCTTACTAGGCTTTATTCCTCTTTCCACTGAATATTGAGCTTCTAAGTTCAAATGGGAGTCTTTCAGGCTAGCCATTAACTTTTCCTGTTCTGTAAATGCCAAGATAAAATATTATGAGAGATTAAATTAGTAAATCTAGTTAGATTTTTTCTTATAATGAAAATACAAGCTGGAAAATTGGAGAATGCTGTACAACCCTTCCAAACTCCAACATGTTCATAAGCTCAACTTTCTTAAATTGATATTAATATTGTCATTTCTTACTAACAAGGACTGCAGATAAGCTTTAGGGACTCTTTTTTCCTTTCTTTCTTTTTATTTCAACCTGTTGACATATAGGCAACATGTCCACTATACCATGATTTTAAGTGCTCCTTTCAAATTCATATCTAGCCCTTCTTCCTAACCCATTTTGGGGGTAAAAAGTTGCTGAGTTCAAAGTCCTAACATCCTAAAGGACTTCTTTCTAAATTAAGTGCCATAAAGTTCTTATCAAAGAATATATGGATTTACGCTATCAAAGGCTTCCATAGAAACCTCTAATTTGACTCAAATGAAAAGTTTAGTCCTTTTAAAATGAAAACATTAAAGCAATAAGGTGAAAGCATCACTTCCATTGATTTAGTAACCAGTGACTTCTAAGTGACTTTTAAATTTGAATCTCTTTTAAAAACCAGAAACAGGCCGGGCACGGTGGTTCACACCTGTAATCCCAGCACTGTGGGAGGCCAAGGCGGGTGGATCACGAGGTTAGGAGATCGAGACCATCCTGGCTAACACAGCGAAACCCTGTCTCTACTAAAAATAAAAAAAACTAACCGGGAGTGGTGGTGGGTGCCCGTAGTCCCAGCTACTCAGGAGGCTGAGGCAGGAGAATGGTGTGAACCCGGGAGGCGGATCTTACAGTGAGTCGAGATCGCGCCACTGCACTCCGGCCTGGGCAACAGAGCGAGACTCTGTCTCAAAAAAATAAATAAATAAAAATAAAAACCAGAAACATACTGGCAAATTCCGGTAGTCTACCTTTATATGGACACTGTATTCTCACTTCAAATCCAGTAGGGCCAAAAGAAAACTCATATTCTCCCTGTTGAACTGGTGTCTTTTTCTGATTCGTCATCTATAACATTTCTGCCATTATATATACACAATGAAGCTTAACAATCTTCTTTATTTCTCCCTTTATCAAAGAGTTCATTGGTTAATCAGTCACTCAGTTCTAAAGATTTTTCTCCACCTTGGGAATTAAATCATATTTCTTCCTGTCCGTTCACACACACATACCACTGAGAAATGCGAGCCCAGGTTACTTTTCTCCCAATCTCCCAAGCTATCTTAATAACAGCCAATCTCCTCATGATTAGGCTCTCACTTTGCCATCCCAATTAAAGTTTTGACCATGTCACCACCAACTTAAAAAACGTTCCATGGTTCTCCAATACCTTCTCAACCTCCTTTTGTTGTTTCAATATCCCCCACGATCTGGTCCAATCTCCCTGTCAACATCATCTCACAAAAGTATACACAGTCAAGCCACAATGCTTTATTCACTATTCTCCAACCACATTTCATGTCTTTCATGATGACACTTCTTCTGTCGAGGCTCCTGTGTTTATTGCCACACTATTCACAGTAGGAAAGATATGAATCAACACGTGTGTTCATCAGGCCCGGCGCAGTGGCTCACGCCTGTAATCCCAGCACTTTGGGAGGACAAGACTGGCGGCTCACGAGGTCAGGAGATCGAGACCATCCTGGCTAACACGGTGAAACCCCGTCTCTACTAAAAATAAAAAAAAAATTAGCCAGGCTTGGTGGTGGGCGCCTGTAGTCCCAGCTACTCGGGAGTCTGAGACCGGAGAATGGCGTGAACCTGGAGGTGGAGCTTGCAGTGAGCCGAGATCACGCCACTACAATCCAGCCTGGGCGACAGAGCAAGACTCCGTCTCAAAAAAAAAAAAAAAGTGTTCATCAATGGATAATGAGATAAACAAAATGTGGTGTGTGTGCGCGCACACACACACACACACACACACACACAGCCATGTAAAAAGAATGAAATCCTGTCTTTTGCCGCAATATGGATGGAACTGCAGGCCATTACCTTAAGTGGAATAACTCAGAAACACGAAGACAAATACCGCATGTTCTCACTTAGAAGTGGGAGCTGAACAGTGTATACACATGGACATACAGTGTGGAATAATAGACACTGGAGATTCGAAAGGGTGGCAGGGTGGGAAGGAGGTGAAGAATAAGAAATTATTTAATGGCTACAATACACACTGTTGGAGTGACAGTTACACTAAAAGCCCAGGCTGCACCACTAAATTAAATATCCATGTAACAAAATTGCACTTTCAACCCTTAAATGTGTACAAATAAAAAAAAGAACATTTCTATTCTTTCCTCTCCTGCTTCATTTCTACATGTTAAATCCTATTTAGCATTCAAGTCTTGGATCAAATATGCTGCTACAAAGCCTTCTTTGGGATTCCGTAAATAATTAATCTCCTCCCTAGATGACTTTTTAGTTATCATTATTTATTATTATTCTCAGTTTATGGTTAATAAATATATTTATTATTTTATTATATAATATTATATATAATTATATAATATTATATAATTATATAATTACTACTACTATTCTCATTTTATACTTATTATATTATTATTGTCATTTGATTACTCTCATTTATGCTTTCTATAAATCCCTTGACAGCAAACTTGCTGTCAAGAAGTTTCTAGAGATTTCTAGAGAGAAGAGTATAAATGAGACTAATGAGCTGACCATAAAATAAAAATGTCATGTTCATTTTTGTTTTCAAACTCAGAGCTCATGGCCTGCTATGGTTTGAATACTTGTGTCCCTGCCAAGATTCACACGATGAAACCTATTCACCAATGTGATGATGGTGGGAGGTATGGCCTTTGAGAGGTGATTAGGGCATGAAGGCAGAGCCTTGATGAATGGAATTAGTGCCCCATGATAAAGGTCTGCAGAGAGCTGCTGCTCCCCTTCCACCATGTGAGACACAGCAAGAAGATGCCATCTATGAGAAAGGGCCTTCACCAGACACTCAATCTGCCAGCACCTTGATCTCGGACTTCCCAGTTCGAGAAATTCTGGAAGAAATTTATTTTTCCAGAAAGGGGAAAAATAAATTTCTGTTGTTTATAAGCTATCCAGTTTATGGTATTTTGTTACAGCAATTCAAACAGACTAAGACAGGCTGTATCAATAATAATTTCTGCATAGTCTGAAAGCTCAATGACAGCAAGAATCAAGTAGGCCTTATTGATCAGAACTGTATCACCACCACTTAACACAGTGCCCTTAGCTAACTATTTTTAATGGATGTTAAATAAAGGAGTAATTACTGAATTGATTTATTTTAAGTCTTCATTGTTAGTTTTAATTTGAAAGACATTTAAAATTCACTATTTGGTCAGAATATGCAGCAATGAATGAAGTTCGAGGAAATTTTATTTATATGTAGTGGCCATAGGGGTGTGTCTTCACATAATGACATCCGTTGCCAAAAGTAATCCAAAAGAAAAAACACACCCTTGATTGGTTATCTGGCATTAAAAAATAAAGTAAGGCCAGGCACGGTGGCTCATGCCTGTAATCCCAGCACACCGGGAGGCTGAGGCAGGAGGATCACTTGAGGCCAGGAGGTCCAGACCAGCCTGGGCAAATGGCAAAACCTCATCTCTATCAAAACTACAAAAATTAGCCAGGCATGGTGGCACAAGTCTGAAATCCTAGCTAGTCGGGAGACTAAGGCATGAGAATCACTTAAACCTGGGAGGCAGAGGTTGCAGCGGGCCAAGATCGCACTGCTGCACTCCAGCCTGGGCAACAGAGTGAGACTTCATCTCAAAAAAATAATAATAGTAACACTAATAACAATTTAATAGTGAAGAGTCTATCTTTGGTTATCATGCATCAACACAAATAATTCATTATTTTGCTCAAATGCCAAGAGAAATTACAGTCATCTCTGTACCCAACTGCCAATAAAGTTTCTAATATCTATGAAATTATGATACACAAAATATCTGTATGAGTTAATATTGCTAATACTTGTGGTGGTTACAAGACAGGGAGATGTTATTGACTTGCTGTAGTTTTATCATTCATGTAGACATGATCTTCAAAGGGTGAGAAAATACAAACGTCTGTAATTTTCTTTTCCTAACTTGTTAATAACAATCATACTTGTTTAATTCCTTCTAGTTTGTAAAATTATTCCATGCATTAACTTATCAAAATAACCAAAAGTCATTGACAGCTGATCCAGAAAATAATGTAGATGGCTGGAGTAGCATTCAGGAAATTCAAGCCTTTAGCTTCCTCATCTGTAAACTAGATAATTGCAATATATGATGTTTGAGGGCCTGTGGGTTCTAACCTTTCATTACTTTTAACAATGTTTGTAAGTTGAGTTAGGGAACTAATCAAAAAGAAAAAGTTTCAGAATGTTTCGAAGTCATGTCAGCCTTCAAGTTAAAATCACAGGCACCTACTCCAGAGTAACTTTTTTTTTAAAGAATGCAACACTTTGGGGGTGTTTACATTCTTTTATGGTTCAACAAGCCTTCAAGTTCACTGTTTTATAGAGCAAATCAATCCAGCCTGGTTTGCTTTGTAAATAAAGTTTTATTGGAACACAGCCACACCCACTCATTCACATATTGTCTATGGCTAGTTTTGCACAAAAATAATAGAGTTAAATAGTTGCAACAGAGACTTTACAGCCCAGCGAAGCCTAGGATATTTACTACCTGGTTCACTGCAAAAAAAGTTTGCCAACCCTTGCTTTAAAACAATAACTTATTTGTATGTATCGTTAAAATGTTAGTTCTTCCACAAAAAAAAAAAAAACTTTAAGAGAAGTGAAGTTATTTCACCTTTTCTGATCAATCCTTGGCAATCTGTAAATTTTGTAAATTTATATCAGTAGCACAAGTTAAATTATTTTTTTAAATTAATTTAAATTTAATTATGTTTCTGTGAAATCTAATATACAATTTTTTACACTCTTCTAACATTTGCAATGTTTGAAAAACACACTTGCAAATAAAACTGCCCAAAATGTCTGTCCTTTGTGAGTTTAGTATTCTGGTGAATCCTGTTCGATAGTATTTTTATTGATCAGTAGAGGGCGTGCTTGACTCAATATAATTGTAGGTACAGCGTGTGCACAATTTAGCCTGGGAACAACAGGTCGACAGCTGCATGAAGAAAGTTAAGGGAGAAATTACTCTATTTTTGTGATGTTAGTGAAAAGGATTAGAATAGCACAAGAAAACTGGTCTATTACCATTTAACTGAAGGTAGTGTTTTCCTCCTGAGAAGAAAATTACTCATCTACTCTTTAGCATTGGTTTACAGGAATCTTGAATATTTTCAACAAGAGAAAGCAACAATTTGGCTACAGAAAACAGGATTTTTTTGTGCCAAGATGATACAGCACATCTTGTGACAGTGGCTACTCTCTCCACCCTGCATCTCTTTGCATTGTTGCCTGTGTACTGATGCCATTAGCATTGACAGAGCCATTGTCCATTGTAAGAAAATATAAAAGAAGATCATTAGAAGTTCAGATTTCTGTAGTGGCTCTCTGGGTTTTTTTATCAACACAGAGGCTGTCTGAAAAGTGAAACATTTCCAAGGAGAATGTGCTGCCGAACTAAAGAATGCTAGGCCCCTAAAAAGAGACTGAAAAAAAACCCACCTACCAGCAGGCTAGACAAAGGGTGCAGGTTGGGGCCTCTTCTTTGAAAGACCTGATTAATGTGAGGTCTTGTTACCTGCTTTATCACTGTTTTGTTATGAGTGAAAGGTTTCAGCATTCTTAATTTGTCTTGCGGATGGGAAAAGGAAAGGCAAACTTGCCTGATGGGGGTCTGAGGGTGAGGTAGATCCATTTGCCCTCAGTGAAAAATAACAGACACAAAAGACACAGGTGATTCTACAGATTCATCCTAAATGTCTTTTTCTGAAAAAGCAGCCAAAAGCACTCATCGTTTAGCCACTTATCTTGAAGAATAAGGTATAGGCTCCAGCAGGTGCAGAAAATAAGTTATTCATTATGCTAAAGCAAAAATAGATTCAAAGAACTAAATAGGAAAAAAAAAATCAGTTTTAGGAATTAAAGAACAGGCATAGAAAGATTAAAATAAGGTAATCATTGTAATTCCCGTTACTTAATAGGTTATTCTAAAGCACATTTTGGCTTCAGGTCTCTAGAAATAATCATCTTCTCATGATATGTGCAATAGTTAAAAATTAATTACAAACAGTTTTCATACCATCTATGAAATTAGAACATATAAATCATGCTTTGGAGTTTTTTAAACGAGAAGCAGAATATGGGCTTTTTACCATATTTTACCTCTGGTTCCCTGAAATTTAAGTCTTATGAAAATATTAGGAGATACATAATATAGTTAATAGCAAATATCCAATATGTATTTTCAGTGAGTGAAGAGAGAAGGATAAGATGCTTATGCTGGATACGTGTTTCATGAACATTGTCCCATGAGGATGAAAACGTAACAGATCATGGTACTTGGATTACTGTATTGCCAGTCACAGACAGCAAGTGAAACATATCATTGGGTTGTAATGTGGAAAATACCCCACAATAAGTAAGCAAATGAGACATAGTATTAAAAATACATGGCGTCTGACCCACATAATTAGCTATTCCACAGATAGTAGCTAGTAGTCATTATCATAGTGTAAGTACAATTTGGTTTGATTGAATTTATTTTGTCACCTTTTTATCAGCATTTTGATCTCATTTCTAATATAAATTATCCTAGCCTTTTGCTAATCATTATGGCTAGACTTTGGCATACATAAGAGAGAAAGTGATTGCAAATACCTATACATACCTTTATGTATCTATATTTGTATGGATACATAAAACTTTTTGCCGTAACAGATTAGTTTTTAGAGGAACGCATTAGCTCAGTGGTTAAATAATAGTTTTTGTTTCTTTTGCAATATTTAATGCCTTGAATAACAAAGTTATACGATTAGATTGTGTATACACTAGGTTGTGAGCTCATTACAAGATGCATGTCTTTCTGATTTTTATATTCCCCAAGCCCAGTAAAGCCTCTGACATGAAAGTCTGCTTTCAAAAAATGCTTACCAAACGAGTGAACCTTGATCAGACACAACCGAACTTTTAAATTATTTCCCTGATTCAACCAGTTATTTTTTATAAAGAAGATATAAATTCCCATTTTTCCAAAGCATCTAACAGCTTCTCCTAGGTCTCATATCGCCTAATCAGCACTCTATATAATCTCTCTGAGTCCACCGTGGAAAGCATTAGTTCAGTCAAGGGAAACTTTTCAATTTAAAGCATGCAACAAGAATTATTGTCTCATGAGGAAGAGGGTTCCATAAGATCAAAAAGAGAGGTAGAAATAAATAAATATATACATACATACTTGTTCTAATGAGACTATCTACAGGTCATGCCTGATTGCCTTGAGCAGTGCAGTGGAAGCATCTTGATGTGGGTGTGAGAGAGGTGTGGGCTTATATCCTCACTCTGCATGAACTTGAGCAGGAAACCTAACCTCTTTGAGACTCAATTTCCATGTCTGGAAAACAATGATAATAATATCTCACTATATTTCCTGAGGCTCCTTGCAGATTCGATGGGCCTTCCTTCTTCCATCTGTATGGAAGCTAGGCATCATTTGGAAGCATTTGTCACTGTTCCAAACCACTAAGGCTTAAAAAGAGAGAAATCACTACATATTGCATGTTGAGCTCAGCAAACTTGCAAACAAATTCCTGCTTTGAGGGCAGTAGCTGAGTCCTTTCGGATTTTCTCAGAAGTCCCAGGACTATCCCCAGAGAAGGCACATTCTCCCTCAGTTTTGTTTTAATTTATTGAGTTAGTAAGCAAGCCCTCATGTGTGGCAGTCACCGTTCCAAGCACTTTGCTAACAATCACTGATTTGATCCTCTGAGGTTAATGCCACCCCATGAAATAGGGCTCTGTGGTCTTGTTCTACCTAGTAATCCCTTCTTCATCCTTAGATAATTCAGCCTTCATTCCTAAAATAAATGTGGAGCGATGGCAGTAGTTGTTAACTACGGGAACAAGCTTTAAGTGTACTACAGAAAATGTAATGGAGAATATTCCAAAAATAATAACTTGGAATTTTATCTTAGGAGAAAAGAAATTTCTTCCACCTCACCACAGCCCTGCGATTGTCAGGAGAAATTTCCTGTTAGCAAGGCCAGATCCAGGAGAAGAGTCCAGATGTCTCTCTGCTAGCCTAAACACCATTTGGCATCTCTTTCCTTTTTACTGAAGCTTTGAAGAAAATAGGAATAGAACCAGATCTAGTAAATTACCTGGGGACTGAAACATCTTTGATATACGTCTTGAGAACATCGCAACATATTTCTTTTCCTCCTTCAGAGCATTAGCTTTGCCGCTTCTCGGAACCCTAAATGACAGAAACAATGACAGACGGATTGGACAGCGAGTCTCGCTTCCCTGGTGCCAAATACAGACCAAAATAGCCTAAGCGCCCCTTTCCAAAGTCTTGAGACTGAAAAAATATATATATGATATGCATATGTATCCATATTTATTTATTAACTACTTGGTTACACTACAGCTGCTTTATTAGAATATTTTAATATCAGATTAATACAGTGGTTATGATAGCAGGCTTGATTAAGAAGGTTACCTTGATTACGATCCAAACTCAACCACTTACTAGCTGTGTAAATCTGGAAAAGTTGTGTAAATCTCTTTGCCTCAGTTTCCCGATATAAAATAATTATAATAGAACCTACCTCAAAAGGGTGTTGTAAAGATTAAATGTTAATGCATCTAAAGTACCTAATACGTACCTAACTCATAGTAAGTACTCAATACATGATAGTGAGAGGTGACAGCGTGCTGGCAGTCCTCAGAGCCCTCACTTGCTCTTGGCACCTCCTCTGCCTGGGCTCCCACTTTGGCAGCATTTGAGGAGCCCTTCAGCCCCCCACTGCACTGTGGGAGCCCCTTTCTGGGCTGGCCAAAGCCGGAGCCCACTCCCTCAGCTTGCAGGGAGGTGTGGAGGGAGGCACGAGCGGGAACCGGGGCTGCGTGCGGCGCTTGCGGGCCAGCTGGAGTTCCGGGTGGGCGTGGGCTTGGTGGGCCCCGCACTCGGAGCAGCCAGCCAGCCCTGCTGGCCCCAGGCAATGGGGGACTTAGCACCCGGGCCAGTAGCTGCGGAGGGTGTACTGTGTCCCCCAGCAGTGCCAGCCCACCGGCGCTGCGCTCGATTTCTCGCCGGGCCTTAGCTGCCTTCCCGCGGGGCAGGGCTCGGGACCTGCAGCCCGCCATGCCTGAGCCTCCCACCCACTCCATGGGCTCCTGTGCGGCCCGAGCCTCCCCGACGAGCACCACCCCCTGCTCCACGGCGCCCAGTCCCATCGACCAACCAAGGGCTGAGGAATGCCAGCGCAGGGTGCAGGACTGGCAGGCAGCTCCACCTGCAGCCCCGGTGTGGGATCCACTAGGTGAAGCCAGCTGGGCTCCTGAGTCTGGTGGGGACGTAGAGAGTCTTTATATCTAGCTCAGGGATTGTAAACACACCAATCAGCACCTGTGTTTAGCTCAAGGTTTGTGAGTGCACCAATCGACTCTGTATCTAGCTGCTCTGGTGAGGACGTGGAGAACCTTTATGTCTAGCTCAACGATTGTAAATACACCAATCGGCACTCTGTATCTAGCTCAAGGTTTGTAAACACACCAGTCAGCACCCTGTGTTTAGCTCAAGGTTTGTAAATGCACCAATCGACAATCTGTATCTAGCTGCTCTGGTGGGGCCTTGGAAAACCTGTGTGTCAAAACTCTGTATCTAACTAATCTGATGGGGAAGTGGAGAACCTTTGTATCTAGCTCAGGGATTATAAACGCACCAATCAGCACCCTGACAAAACAGGCCACTCGGCTCTACCAATCAGCAGGATGTGGGTGGGGCCAGATAAGAGAATAAAAGCAGGCTGCCGGAGCTAGCATCGGCAACTGGTTCAGGTGGTCTTCCACACTGTGGAAGCTTTGTTCGTTCACTCTTTACAATAAATCTTGCTACTGCTCACTCTTTGGGTCCACGCTGCTTTTATGAGCTGTAACACTCACCGCGAAGATCTGCAGCTTCACTCCTGAGGCCAGCGAGATCAGGAGCCCAGCAGGAAGAACAAACAACTCCAGACGCGCTGCCTTAAGAGCTGTAACACTCACCGCGAAGGTCTGCAGCTTCACTACTGAGCCAGCGAGACCACGAACCCACCAGAAGGAAAAAACTCCAAACACATCTGAACCTCAGAAGGGACAGACTCCAGACGCGCCACCTTAAGGGCTGTAACACTCACCGCCAGGGTCCGCGGCTTCATTCTTGAAGTCAGTGAGACCAAGAACCCACCAATTCAGGACACAATAGCAACCTGTGTAACTCTTCTCTCGGGCCATTCACTATAGTTGAGCTAAATTTCTCTTTGTCAAGCAGGAAATGCACTGTTTTCCTAAACTGTTTTTTGAAGCCCACTCGTCCCTGAAGTCCAGCAAAAAGGAATTCTCTTCTTCATTTAATTTTCGGAAACACTATATTTGCCTTGGAAACTCAAAATGCACTGAAATATATTAAGGACTTTGATATATTTGTAATTTAAAAATCTGTTTCATTTTGTTTAACATGATGAATCCCAAATATACAAGATCTCTTGACCCTTGAGTTTAACAGTCACTTACTCATTTTTATTATTTCATCTGTGTACGTTTCGTTTTAAGGTCTTCATTTTCTTGAAATGAGATCATTTCATCTTTCTTTTTTTTTTTTTTGAGACAAAATCTCACTCTGTCGCTGAGGCTGGAGTGCAGTGGCACAATCTCGGCTCACTGCAACCTCTGCCTCCTGGATTCAAATGATTCTCCTGCCTCAGCCTCCCCAGTAGCTGGGACTACAGGTGCCTACCACCATGCCCATCTAATTTTTGTATTTTTATTAGAGACAGGGTTTCACCATATTGGCCAGGTTGGCCTTGAACTCCTGACCTTGTGAGCTACCCACCTTGGCTCCACAAAGTGCTGGGATTACAGGTGTGAGCCACCGTGCCCAGCCAAGACCATTTCATTTTTCTTTAACATACATGGGACAGCAAACTATGGAAAGCACGTAGGTATCCTGAGATGAAGAGATCATTCTGGACTATCCGAGTGGGCCCCTAAAGCCAATCACAACTGTCCTTATAAGAGAAAGGTAGGGGGAGATTTGAGACACAGAAGAGGAGAAGACACCGTACAGGAGAAGGCAATGTGGTCACAGAGGCAGAAATGGGAGGGATGTGGCCACAAGGCAAGGAATACTGGCAGCCACCAGAAGCCAGAAGGGGCAAAGAATGAATTCTCCCCTAAAGCAGGGGTCCCCAGCCTGTTACGTCTGCAGCCTGTTACGAACTGGGCTACACAACAGGAAATGAGAGATGGGTAAGCAAGCAAAGCTTCATCTGTATTTACAGCCACTTCCCATTGCTTGCATTACCCCCTAAGCTCTGTGCCCTGTCAGATCAGCAGCAGCATTCTTCATAGCTTCTCACAGGAGCACAAATCCTATTGCAAACTGAGCATGCGAGGGACCTAGGCTGCAAGCTCTTTATGAGAATCTAATGCCTTATGATCTGTCACTGCCTCCCATCACCCCCAGATGGGACCATCTGGTTGTAGGAAAACAAGTTCAGAGCTCCCACTGATTCTACTTTATGATGAGTTGCATAGTTACTTCATTACATATTAGAAGGTAATAATAGAAATAAAGGACACTATAAATTTAATGTGCTTGAGTCATTCCAAAACCATCCCCATCCCCTGTCCACGGAAAAATTGTCTTCCATGAAACAGGTCCCTGGTGCCAAGAAGTTTGGGGACCGCCGCCCTAGAGTCTCCAGAATAAACATAGCCCTGCTGACTGGATTTCTGATTTCTAGCTTCCAGAACTATAAGAGAATAACTTTCTGTTGTTTGAAGCCACCAAGTTTGTGGACATTTGTTATTGGCAGCCCTAGGAAATTAATACACCCAGTTTCACCGCTGACAAAATGGTTTTAATAAAGGCGCACCTTGCCCTGCCATTGCCCTAACAGTGTTCTGAACATCACATGTGAAAACGTAGGTGAAAAATCTTCCACAGCTTAAAGTACTCACACAGTTGTAGCACTATCTTATTATCGCGATATCGAATTCATGAACCCTCCTCCAACTGAAACAAGAATTCCAAATTTTGGTTGCTTGGCAATTTCTCGGCTTTCCCTTATTCCTTTGTTTCGCTTGGTTTGGCTTGGTTTGATTTTATGAAAACTAGATCCACGATCCTCACTTCCTCCCAGTCAATGCCCGGTATGGCAAACACTGAATTTCCTAGGAAAACCTCAGCCATACCTGTCATCCACTTCCTTCCTATAGAGGATAAATCCACAGAATTGATCTGAACAGGAATTGTTCTTCTGTCAAAACAAATCAAAGCTTAAATCGATATATATATATTTAGATCAAAACAAACCCATTGAAATAACAGGAAAACATTAGGATAAATTAAGAGAATTAATCCAGATTGCAAGGAAACACCTTGCGTTATTAAGTCACTTGCTCTGAGACATTTAATATTATATTTCCATTTTAAAAGATGTACTGGACACATTTTAATGGCATCTGCCTCTTCGGTTTCCAAAAATAAATATACTTGCTTTCCTCAAACTTTTTCTTGAAAACCGCAAGAGCTCAAACCACAAGAACAAGGGCTTTTAAGAGTAACCAAATGCTATTAGAGGCACTGTCTTCCATACAGGGAGACACATGAGAGTCCTTCTTTGTTAAGACTGGCTTCCTTAACTCACTGGAGAAAAGAAGCTGGAAGACGGCACATCTGTCAAGAAGCATATTGAAAGGGCCAACTCGGATACTCTCACTTTCTCTTTGAAACTGTGTCCTTTTCCTATTCATTTCAGCAATTGACTTTACCTACTCCCCGTAGTGATCAAATTTCTCTTTTCTTTTAAAGAATCTTCATTTGATAGAATCTAGACTTGACAATATGCAGCTCCAAGTAGCAAACAATGAGAGTTTCCAAGGCGTCTCTGACTATGGGATTCAAATTGAAATTTATTTCTAGAAAAGGATTCTTCATCTCTCAAAACATCCTAAATGTTATTGGAAATTCAATACATGTGTAGGGAACTTTGCAAAAACCAAGGGGTGTTTTCATTCCAACTCATCTTTTCTGCCACACTTTCACTTCACAGTCCTCACTACCATCTGGTGGCTCTGCCAGCGTTTTTCTCCAAATTGTTTCAATTCTTTAAGTGGGTATGTTGGGAGATCAGGATTGTTTTTCAATTTTATTTATGACTTGCTCTACACGTATCTCAATTTAGTCCATAAGTCTCTGTAAAACTGCCCATTCCCCTATATAACATTGTTCCAAATCTAGGGTTTACAAAAGTAACTCCAATCTAGTGCACCATATTAGCACATCACACACTCTTGTGTAAAGGTAAACAGGTAACAGGTAAAGAATGAGGATCCGACACAGTGGCTAACGTGTGTAATACCAGCACTTTGGGAGGCCGAGGCGGGTGGATCACCAGAGATTAGGAGTTTGAGACCAACCTAGCCAACATGGTGAAACCCCATCTCTACTAAAAATATAAAAATTAGCCTGGCGTGGTGGCAGGCACCTGTAATCCCAGCTACTTGGGAGGCAGAGGCAGGAGAATCCCTTGAACCCGGGAGGCAGAGCTTGCAGTGAGCCAAGATCCCACCACTGCACTCCAGCCTGGGCAACACAGTGAAACTCCACTGCCAAAAAAAAAAGAGAGAATGGGGAAAAGATTTTCAATGGCATGATGAGCCCATTACCATAAGTCTAATGAAATTCCCACAATTTGCCCTACTAGAAACCAGCATTTTATGTCTTACATACTTCACTCTACAGTTTTTAAACATCAGATATGTGTCAGGTATGTGTTTAAGGGACTAGAATATATTAGGGAATTAAAGTAACAAAAATCTCTGCCCTCAAAGGACTTACATTCAAGTGATGGATAGTAGTCAACACTTACTATGCGTCAAGCACCGTTTTCAGTATTTTATATAGATAAATGTATTTAATCCTCACAAGAATCATATGAGATTCATACAACCATTTAAGAGAAAAGAACACTGAGGCACAAAGAGTTAAGTGACTTACTCAGAGGCACAAGAACAAAATCCGTCTCAGCTTTAACCCTCAGAGGAAAATTAAAATGCAAACATTTGCAGAAGAATATGATAAATGCCCAATGCTTAGCTCAGTGCTCAATGTAATCTAAGGAATAAATTCCATCTCCACTGAATTTTTAGAAGACTTTTATTATGCAGTTTCTTTTTACAACCAACACAACTAAAATTATTAACTATTCAATATTTTCCAAGTTTAAAATTATAAAACCAATTAGAAATTTATATTCTAGTACTATAAGAAAAGTATAATTGATAATAGCTTTACTATTGAATTATTGTATTTAGAAAAAAAATAATTTCAGCTCTTACCACAGTTCACAACCGTACATACATTATTATTTGATTAATGTCTATAGCCACTGCCCTGTATTTAGATATGCCGCGTAAACTATCAAGGACTTAGCACAATAGTACAGTGTCTTATATATCAGAAATTTATAGATTTAGCATTGCCTTTCAGTTTCTTCGTGAACATGATGAGGATACTGACTATAGTATTTAGTAGCCAGATTTACTTGCATTGATTTGCTATGAGAATTATGCATAACAAGAAACTCTCCCTGGACAAAGGTACTAATACCTTTAAATAGAGGAAAAAATTGTTTTTTCACCAAATGGTGCTGGAACAATTAGATACCTACATGCAGAGTAATGAGCTTCAACCCTTACCTCACGCCATACACAAAGAGTAACTTGAACTATATTGTATACTTACAAGTAAGAACTAAACTAAACTATAAAATTCTTAGAAGAAAACATAGGAGTAGTGATCTTGGATTATGTAATAATTTTACAAAAGTAAACACAGGAAATAAAGAAAAACATTAATAGGCATCACTGAAATTCAAAACCTTTTCACTTCAAAATATACAATCAAGAAAGTAAAAAGACAAGCCATGGAGTAGAAGAAATGTTTGAAAATCATATCTCCAGTAATAAACTTGTAACTCAAGTATAAAAAGAAAAACTCTTACAACTCCATAATTAAGATGGTAAACAACCCAACTAAAAAGTGGGCAAAGGCTGGGCACAGTGGTTCACACCTCTAGTCCTAGCACCTTGGAAGGTGGAGGTGGGAGGATTGCTTAAGTCCAGGAGTTCAAGGCTAGCCTGGGCAACATAGCAAGACCTTGTCTCTACAAAAAATATTTTTTAAAAAATTAGCCGGATGTGCTGGTGCACACCCGTAGTCCCAGCTACTTGGGAGAATGAGGTAGATCACTTGACCCTGTGAGGTTGAGGCTGCAGTGGGCCATGATCATGCCACTGCACTCCAGCCTGGGCAACAGAATGAGACCCCATCTTTTAAAATAAAAACACTAAAAAAATGGGCCAAAGATTTTAATAGACATTTCACCAGAGAAGATATAGAAATGGCCAATACAAACATTAAAAGAAGTTCATCATTATTACTCATTAGGGACATTCAAATTAAAACCACAATGAGATTCCACTTCACACCCCTAGAACATCAAATGCAGACAATGTTAAGTGTTGACAAGGACTTGGAGAAACTGGAAAGAACCTTCATATTGGTGAGAATATTAAATGGTACAGTCACTTACAGAAAGTTTCTATCAACCTATGCCACCCTAATGAATTGCTATTCTCTACCCTTTAGAATAGAATCAAGACATTCTTTTACTTACAACTTCAGCAAATAAAGACAAATATCCCATGTTTCCCTGTTCCATGGCCCAGGAAAAGCAGCAGTAATTGATCACTGAACTCTCCTCCCACCCAACATACAAAGAGTGTCACAACTTTCCTCAACAGAGAATAATAGGCAATCATTTCTATTTGTCACCTCCTGATACTTTCACTACTTTTTAGACATCCCACCTGCAATCGCCTTCTTTTATGATAATATTACCATTCCTGATCTTACACAGGCTACATAGTAATCTTTTTTTTTTTTTTTTTTTTTTTTTTTCTTCAGAGGGAGTCTCGCTCTGTCACCCAGGCTGGAGTGCAGTGGTGCAATCTCGGCTCACTGCAAGCTCCGCCTCCCGGGTTCACGCCATTCTCCTGCCTCAGCCTCCGGAGTAACTGGGACTACAGGCGCCCGCCACTGCGCCCAGCTAATTTTTTTTTTCTTTGTATTTTTAGTGCAGACGGGGTTTCACCACGGTCTCGATCTCCTGACCTCGTGATCTGCCCGCCTCGGCCTCCCAAAGTGCTGGGATTACAGGTGTGACCCACCGCGCACGGCCGGCTACATACTAATCTTATCTGTGAGCTTTAAAAGTTTTATGAAGGAAAAAATGTCTGGCATATAACCTGAAACTGGACCACAGAAGCTACCATGTAAAAGACCTGGGCCAGGCGTGGCGGCTCATGCCTGTAATCCCAACACTTTGAGAGACCAAGGTGGGAGGATCACTTTAGTTCAGGAGTTCAAGACCAGCCTGGCCAACATGGTGAAACCCCATCTCTAATAAAAATACACAAATCAGCTGGGCATGGTGGCAGACGCCTGTAATCCCAGCTACTTGTGAGGCTGCATCGAGAGAATTGCTTGAACCCAGGGGGCGAAGGTTGCAGTGAGCCGAGATCACGCCACTGCACTCCAGCCTGGGTGACAGAACGAGACTTAAAAAAAAGAAAAAAAAAAATAAACAGAACTGGCCATAAACTTTGCTCTATTAAAAAATATATACACTGTACTAAATTATTAGTGTATCTTATTCTTAGTCAAATTTTGTTTATATCTTTGTCAAATGTAAGACTCAAAATCCCAAGACTTTTTTTATGTAAGAAAATAAATTTCTCTGATGGCCAGTGATGATGAGCATTTTTTCATGTGTCTTTTGGCTGCATAAATATCTTCTTTTGAGAAGTATCTGTTCATATCCTTTGCCCACTTTTTGATGGGGTTGTTTGTTTTTTTCTTGTAAATTTGTTTGAATTCATTGTACATTCTGGATATTAGCCCTTTGTCAGATGAGTAGGTTGCAAGAATTTTCTCCCATTCTGTAGGTTGCCTGTTCACTCTGATGGTAGTTTCTTTTGCTGTGCAGAAGCTCTTTAGTTTAATTAGATCCCATTTGTCAAGTTTGGCTTTTGTTGCCATTGCTTTTGGTGTTTTAGACATGAAGTCCTTGCCCATGCCTATGTCCTGAATGGTATTGCCTAGGTTTTCTTCTAGGGTTTTTATGGTTTTAGGTCTAACATGTAAGTCTTTAATCCATCTTGAATTAATTTTTGTATAAGGTGTAAGGAAGGATCCAGTTTCAGCTTTCTACATGTGGCTAGCCAGTTTTCCCAGCACCATTTATTAAATAGGGAATCCTTTCCCCATCGCTTGTTTTTGTCAGGTTTGTCAAAGATCAGATAGTTGTAGATATGCGGCATTATTTTTGAGGTCTCTGCTCTGTTCCATTGGTCTATGTGTCTGTTTTGGCCATCAGAGAAATGCAAATCAAAACCACAATGAGATACCATCTCACACCAGTTAGAATGGCAATCATCAAAAAGTCAGGAAACAACAGGTGCTGGAGAGGATGTGGAGAAATAGGAACACTTTTACACTGTTGGTGGGAATGTAAACTAGTTCAACCATTGTGGAGGTCGGTGTGGCGATTCCTCAGGGATCTAGAACTAGAAATACCATTTGATCCAGCCATCCCATTACTGGGTATATACCCAAAGGATTATAAATCATGCTGCTGTAAAGACACATGCACACGTATGTTTATAGCGGCACTATTCACAATAGCAAAGACTTGGAACCAAGCCAAATGTCCAACAATGATAGACTGGATTAAGAAAATGTGGCACGTATACACCATGGAATAGTATGCAGCCATAAAAAATGATGAGTTCATGTCCTTTGTAGGGACACAGATGAAGCTAGAAACCACCATTCTCAGCAAACTATCGCAACGACAAAAACAATCAAACACCGCATGTTCTCACTCATAGGTGGGAACTGAACAATGAGAACACATGGACACAGGAAGGGGAACATCACACACCGGGGACTGTGATGGGGTGGGGGGAGGGGGGAGGGATAGCATTAGGAGATATACCTAATGCTAAATGGCGAGTTAATGGGTGCAGCACACCAACTTAGCACATGTATACATATGTAACAAACCTGCACATTGTGCACATGTACCCTAAAACTTAAAGTATAATAATAATAAAATTTTAAAAAAAGAAAATAAATTATAAAATCCATATATTAGCTCTGCAATAATTCTTAGGGCAATTTTTATTATTATATGAGTCATGGACAGTCTCATAAAATACTGTATATTTAAGCTGGGCACATTGGCACACATCTGTAGTCCCAGTGGAGGCAAGAGGATCTTTTGAGGCCAGGAGTTTGAGACCAGACTGGGAATATAGTGAGAACCTATCATTGCTCTCTCTAAAAAAAAGAAAGAAAAGAAAATTCTACACAATGATCTAATGTTAGAATTACCCAAGAAAAATAAAGAATAGACAGACCCTTTAAAAATCTTGACATTAGATCTCACTGCTTCAAGCTTCTTTATACAGTAAACTTTTATTGCTTTTTTTGTTGTTGACTCATATATGTCAGACTCCATTTGGACATCACTACCTTTAACAAGCTATTTTGTACCTCTACTATCATTTGTGAAAAAAAATCAGAGCTTCAGTGTTATTTCTCTACTTAACTCTAGTTCATGACCCTTTGTGTTGAGGTTATAATTGTTGCTGAATCTCATAGAGATATTCATAGGAACTTTTTTTTCTTTTCTTTCTCAACCTAAATAGAACTCGCACCCTTGAAATCACCTGCCGGGTTCTTTGTTTTCAACTGCCTTAAACCTTACACTATATCCTCCATAGCTAAGTACAAAATCATGTAAGGCAGACCAAATTTCCTGGAGCTAGTTTAAATGGTACTGTATTCAACAATATTGTAAGTCAAA
The DNA here is from genome assembly GCF_000001405.40 of Homo sapiens. NCBI lineage: Eukaryota > Metazoa > Chordata > Mammalia > Primates > Hominidae > Homo > Homo sapiens. The sequence continues at coordinate 16,794,009 of NC_000008.11, forward strand.
TTGACCTGAGGCAATATAATACACGGTCAGAGTAATAGAAAGTGAGATAAAAGTCTTCATTAGGGATCAAATAACTATTACCTTATCCATTTGGAGTGTTCTTTTGAGATGCACTTAATACACTTCTATCTGTTGATAACAGCAACCCTGAATTAGAAAAAAAATAGTGATCTGTTCCTATTGAAATGATACCTTAGGCACCTGTTGCCCACAGAAAGTAAACAGGAGGAAACAAATAAATCTGAGATCTGGGCTGTTTTGCCCAAATCACATCATTTCAAGGCACTCTGTGCCATGGGTTGCCGCCTTTGTAAAATATTCACCCTGCACAGTTTGTTTTGGTGCTCCACCTCCCCCTGTGTTGCTAATATCAGCCTGACAAAATACGCAATTAGGCTCCTCTATCTTAGCATAGTTCTTTTGACAAGAAACAACACTGTGAACCTCTGTGTTAACATGAACAGGTGATAAAGGGGGTCAAATAGCCAATCGCAGCTGCCAATAGGAGAGTTTCATGAAACATGCAAATCTCAAAGCCAGCTATTTAGCTGAAGCCCCAGGGAGCGGAGTTTGCTTTCTAACTCTCATTGTGTTCTCCTCTTCCCAGTCCTGCCACAAGCCCTTTCTCTCTATATAGCTTGGCAGCCCATTAAAGCAAAAAATGCTTTAGTCGCTGAAGCAATAAAGTTGAATAATTGCTGCCTTGAGTCTTTCTCCAACTCATTTGAAGGATGACCATTGTAAGATAGATTTACTTCTGGTAAATGATCTACCTTAAAGAGTGGGTTATAGAACAGCCGGGACTAGCTTGGCAAAGTTACTGGCAATGGCTGTGAAGTGGCAAGTAAATTGCCTAAAGAGAAGCAACTGCCTCAGTTACCAGGGCTCTGCCAAACCTTCATGAGCAATATGGTTTGCCTTGCACTGCTGCTAGCATTTGCTAGTGAATGTCAGGTTTTTTGCTTTACATGAACTCATGAAACAATTGCTTTCATAGGCAAAGACAATCATCTGGTCACTCAAGACTAATTATGAGTTACCCTGGGATCATAGGGGCAAAGAGTGCAGGAAATTTCTCACTTTGCAATTTCCTACCTACCCTAAAGTCATTTCGAATCTAATAGGAGAGATGAAAGCATAAATAATTCTAACTCTACCAACATACATGGAGGTATATAGCTTGCACAGGGCACTCCGTGGGCATATGCATTCTCCTTTTTCTTTTGTTTGTTTGTTTTTGAGACAAGGTCTTGGTATATCACCCAGGCTGGAGTGCAGTGGCACAATCATAGCTCACTGTAACCTCAAATATCAGGGCTCTAACAACCCTCCCACCTCAGCCTCCCAAGCAGCTGGGACTACAGACACATGCCACCACACTGGGCTTCCATGTGCATTTTCTTATTTGATAAACGCAGGCTCTGCCATTTGCTAATTATGTGACTATTGTGAAATTACCTACTTTCTTCTTGCCTACATTTTACCAGTTCTAAAGCTAGAGCACTACCCTCTAATGTCCTTGTGAGAATTAAATGAGAAATTGCAAGAAAAAGCAAAAAGCCTCATACCTAGTAAGCATTTGATAACTGTTAGCTTTTTAAAATTCTAATAAAGCATGTAGCAGAAACACAAAAACATACAAAGACTCTTATGTAGCTCTCTGGAATTAGAAATTAATATAACTGAAATGGATAGAACCTTACAGTGAATAGAGCAATGCACAACTTTCTATGAAGATTTCAAGAAACAGAATTAGTCTGATGGAGAAAAATGAAATAGATTTCTGGGGGAGTCAGAGGGGGGAAAACATTTTAATGAATATAAGAAATGAGAGTTGTTAAATTGTCAACTCATGCTAGAATGAAACCAAGAAAGTCAGTTTAATCCACTTAAATGACAATTACAGTAGTCTTCCCTTACCCAGTGGAGATGGGTTGCAAGATCCCCAGTGGATACCTGAAACCACGGACAGTACTAAACTCTATATATATACATACATGCATGAATTTCTTCTTCCTTCTTGACAGTTTCACTGATAGAAGATTGTTTTTCACCGTAAATCTTAGCCACCTCAGCACATGACTTCTTTTTTCTTTCCTTATTAAGTCAAGAACTTTTGCCTTTTCTCTTTTTAAAAAAATAATATTTTTAATTTTTGTGGGTTCATAGGAGTATATATTTATGGGGTACACAAGATTTATTTGTTGTTGTTGTTTTTTTTTTGAGACAGAGTCTCACTCTGTCGCCCAGCCTGGAGTGCAATGATGCAAACTCGGCTCACTGCAACCTCCGCCTCCCAGGCTCAAGCGATTCTCCTGCCTCAGCCTCCCAAGTAGCTGGGATTATAGGCACCCACCACCACGCCCAGCTAATTTTTGTATTTTTAGTAGAAATGGGGCTTCATCATGTTGGCCAAGCTGGTCTCAAACTCCTGACCTCAAGTGATCCACCCACCTCGGCTACTCAAGTTCTGAGATTACAGGAATGAGCCACTGTGCACCGTCTACATAACATTTTTTGAAACAGGCATGCAACGTGTAATAATCGCATCATGTGAAATCGGGTATCTATTCCCTCAAGCATTTATCCTTGTGTTACAAACAATCCAATTACACTCTTTTATTTAAAAATGTACAATTAAATTATTGTTGACTATAGTCACCCTGTGCTATCAAACACTAGGTTTTATTTATTCTATTTTTTTGTACCCATTAACCTCTGGGAAACATTCTTCTAATCTCTATGTCCAGGAGTTCAATTGTTTTGACTTTTAGATCCCACCAGTAAGTGAGAACACACAATATTTGTCTTTCTGTATCTGGCTTATTTCACTAAACAGCCTCCAATTCCATCCACATTGCTGCAAATGACAGGATCTCATTCTTTTTCATGGCTGAATTGCACTCCACTGTGCATATATACCGCATTTTCTTTATCCATTCATCTGTTGATGGACACTTAGTTTACTACCACAACTTGGCTATTGGGAACAGGGCTGCGAAAAACATGAGAGTGCAGATATCTCTTCGAAGTACTGATTTCCTTTCTTTTGGGCATAGGCCCAGGCCCAGCAGGGGGATTGCTGCATCATAGGGTAGCTCTATTTTCAGTTTTTTGAGGAACCTCCAAGCTGTTCTTCAAAGTGGTTGTGCTAATTTACATTGCCACTGACAGTATACAAGGGTTCCCTTTCTCCACATGCTTCCCAGCATTTGTTATTGCCTGACTTTGGGACAAAAACCATTTTAACTGGGGTGAGATGATATCTCATTGTAGTTTGGATTTGCATTTCTCTGATGATCCATGATGTTGAGCATCTTTTCATATGCCTGCTTGCCATTTGTATGTCTTCCTTTGAGAAATGTCTGTTCAAATATTTTGCCCATTTTTTGACTGGATTATGAGATTTTTTTCCTATAGCGTTGTTTAGCTCCTTATGTATTCTGCTTATGAATCCCTTGTTAGATGGGTAGTTTGCAAATACTTTCTCCCATTCTGTAGGTTGCCCCTTCACTTTGTCGACTGTATTCTTTGCTGTGCAGAAGCTTTTTAATTTGATATCCCATCTTTCCATTTTTGCCTTGGTTACCCCAACACACAAACACTTTTTTCTGAAAGGCAGCATTTCAAGGCTTTCATTTGCCATATCTACATTGCCAGCACCACTATTCTTGCACTTTGGGGCCATTATTAAGTAAAACAAGAGTGACTTGAACACAAGCACCACAATACCATGACAGTCCATCTGACTACCAAGAAGGCTACTAAGTAACTAACGGGCAGATAATGCAGACACCACGGAAATGCTGGACAAAGGGATGAGCCACATCCTGGGCTGGATGGAGCAGGTTGGCAAAAGATTTCCTCAAGCTACTCGGAACAGCGAGTGATTCAAAATTTATGAATTGTTTATTTCTGGAATGTTCCACTTATATTTTTAGATCTCTGTTGATCTTGAGTAATTGAAGGATCAGAAAGCAAAAGCACAGATCATGGAAGACTACTGTAGAGTTCACCCTTCAACAACACAGGTTTGAACTGCACGGGTCCACTTATATATGGATTTTTTTCAATAAGTACACAAATACAGAATGGACATGACTCCAATCACAGTCAAAAGACACATTAATGCAATATTAAATCATAACTGCATAAAATTAACTGGTACATACTTTACTACTGTAATAATTTTGTAGCCACCTCCTGTTGCTGTTGCAGTGAGCTCCAGTGTTGTAAGTATCCATTTAAAAAGTCATGTGTCACTAATCATCTAACATTGAGTTGTTCCTCTCTCCGGTAAATTGCACAGTAAAAAGTGACCTCTCGTGGTCCTCCCATATTTTTCATTGTGTTTAGTGCAATACCATAAGCCTTGAATAACACCATGGGACCCATACGAAGTGCCAATAGTGATGCTGGAAGTGCTCCCAAGGAGCAAAGTTGTGACATTACAAGAAAAAGTTGAATCTCTTGATATGTACTATAGATTAAGGTCTGCTACAGTGGTTGCTGCCATTTCAGAAATACAATTCATCTTGAAACAGATGAATAAACTTCTGGTATTCACAAGTACAGGGTTATTGGAAGGTATTTTCTCTTCCTTGTATTTTCTTAATAACATGTTCTTTTCTCTTACTTTATTGTAAGATTGCAGTATATAATACAAAATATGTATTAATTGACTTTATGTAATCAATAATACTTCTGGTCAAGGGTAGGCTGTTGGTAGTTAAGCTTTTGGGGAGTCAAAAGCTATACTCAAATTTTTGACTGCATAGGGAGTTGATGTCCCTAACTCCGGCGTCGTTCAAGGGTCCACTGAACTGTTTATTAACTTGCATGCTCCAGTAGGAAAAGGCAACATTCTGATCACTTCTCAGTATTGACTTGTCCTTAGTTTATACTGAGTGAATTGTTTTTGAGTTAATGAAATGAAGACATAAAATGTTTTTGTCACTTAAGTTTTAAAAGAGTTAACTGTTGAGAAACGTGGCAATTCAATTCAACTTGATCTCATCAAAGCATAAGGTTTACCAATATTTCACTGCCTACCAGATTGACATTTTCATGCCACTCTATAACCTCTATTGGAAGAATTTTGTTTAGCTATCAGGAGATCATTTTCCAAGAATATTTTTACATTTCTGGACAATCTGGGGTTTCTGAGCAAAGGGCATTGGTTAAAGGATCCCTAAGAACAAATATGCCTTGGAAGCTAGAGATAATATATTATTCCAGAGAAATGTAGTGTTATCTCCCTAGAACCATTAGCTTATATTCCAGGCTAGGGAGTCTAGAGACTTTCCCTTTCCTCACTGGAGAAGATCTGTTTACATTCCAGAGTAAAGGTCTCTCTCTCTCTCTCTCTCTCTCTCTCTCTCTCTGCAGGAGGGAAGATGGGCTGTTACACCAACCACTCTACTTGAGCTCCAAGTCTCATAATTTCAGGATTCCTCTCTTGGGGTGTAATACCTTCTGCATGTGCAGGGTAATATAAGGCCTTTACTGTGTCACCCCATAGAGACTGGAGCTCTGTGAGAACTGACATGTTCTATAAATAACAAATGGTCTGTTCTCTCATCCAGATACTTATTTCCTGTCAGAATCTGAACATATATATTCATATATATAAAATATATGCTTACATATTCATATATTATATATGCTTATATATTATACAACATATTAAATTATTTATATTATAAATACGTACATATTTAACACTAAAATATTGTGTTAAAAATGTTGTATTGCACATCATAATCCAATCTCCCTAAACATTCATTTCACCTTTCCCCAGCACAATTACATAGCAACCGTACGTTTAACAGAGTCAGGTTTGTATTCAGTAAAACTATTCACGAGATTCCTTTATTTTTGTTGTTATTGTTGTTGTTGGTTGGTTCAGAAGCATTGCCTTAAATCATCAGCACAAGGGTTTTTTCTGGAAATACAGGTTGGTTCAGGAACAGGTAATGACCCACTTAAGGCTCATTATTTAGAAGGAGAATTTTGCTGGGAATTATGAAAAATCTTCTACCTCTTAAGAGAGTCATAGAAAGCTCCACACTCTCTTCTATTGAATAAGAACAAGGAGGCATTCAGACCAATGCTACTGACAGCAATCCTACAATTTAAAGGGGAAGCAGCTTAGGATAAAATGGAAACTGGAGAAGGGGAATTCGGGGAACTAGGAAAAGCCTGAGTTCTTGATGAATGATTCCTCCGCTGCATGGGTAACTGCAAACACTTTCCTAATTCGGAACTTCCTATTTTGTGAGCAAATTAATTGCATTATGGTTTTAACTCACTTGATTTAGGTTTTGTGTTACACGCAACTGAATTCATTCTAACTGATAAATACTTGACATAGTGTCTATGGATAATTAATTCTGAAGATCTCTTTTGCTAGATCAGCTTCTATGAAATCCAAATTATATTGTTGGGCTAATCTTATCTGAAGAAGAAAATAATTACACTAAATAGATGAAGTATGTGTAATAGCAAAGAAAAATGACATGAAACCAGTGAATAAATGAAAATAATTATAATAAATGGATAAGTAAATAAAATATATACATATATTAGTGGCTACCCAGAAAATTACCTGTCAAAATAAAGTTTATTTTCTTTAAGGAAGAAAGAACATTTCTTTTTCAAACAGAAATTAGCTATGAATCTTTCACACTCAGATTCTAAGTAATTGTCCCTTACTCTTTAAGTTCAATATCCTTGATAGATACAAGAAGGAAAGAGTTAAAATTCATAGAGAATTACTTTATAAACTGATTGCAAAAGAGGTCACAAGCAACAGATGTGAGAAGATAAAAGCACTTCAGGTGTTGAGCTGCCCTTTGATGCAAGCAGGCCAAATTCAAGTGGCTCTAAAAGTATTAATTTAGGGCCGGGTGTGGTGGCTCACACCTGTAATCCCAGCACTTTGGGAGGCTCACAGGGGAGGATTGGTTGAGCTTAAAAGTTCAAAACCAGCCTGGGCAACATAGTGAGACTTCATCTCTACAGGAAAATTTTTTAATTCGCTGGGCATCGGGTGTGCACCTGTGGTCCCTGTTACTTGGGGGACTGGGGCAGGAGGATCACTTAAACCCAGGAAGTCAAGGCTGCAGTGATCTGTGATTGCACCACTGCACCCTAGCTTGGGAGACAAAGTGAGACTCTGTCTCAAAGTAAATGAATAAATAAACTTGTTAATTCAGGTTCAATTATGCATAGAAGAGCATAATTCTTGTTAAACCTACCAATAAGAAGAAAATGACATGGTTAGGGCCTATTGTTAGAGAAAACTCCTTGTATGTACCCATTTATTTTATAGGACATTTTACCCTGTGCCTCATTAGGGCATTGAAAAGTAGAGTATGTGAGGTGATGCATATATTAAACAAAAAATAAAGAAATATAGTATATTCAGGGGAAGATTTTGAGGCTAATGGGTATCCAGAAATCATCTCCTACAAGGAATGGAGAGAGAATCAAATGTATGAATGTGTCTGCCAGGTATTGAACGAACTCAGGGAAACTTTCAGTATTCTCTAAACAATGCATATCTAGCTCCTCTCATCAGTGTGGTTCTCAGCTTTTAGTTTGCATGAGAATTACCTAGAGATTTTATTTAAAATATAGACAACCAACACAGTAAGTACATGCACCATCTCATTCGAGATGATTCTTATAGCACCTTTATTTATAATTTTTAGCTAGATGCTAATTAACTTGCCCCAAGTTATCACTGAATTAATCACTAAACTAATAAAAGAAAAACGTATTCTTCTCTCTGTCCAAAATCTGTGCTCTTAGACTCAACTCTACACGGTCTCATTACTAATAAATCAGAAAACAATACTAAAGTGTCAGGTTTCTTAGTACATAGTAACTACCAAAAACTGGCCAGCTTTTAAAATATGACAGTAGCTAAGTTAGAAAGAATTGCACAAAAGTATCTGAAAAACCATTGAAAAGAACAGTTTTCCAATATTCGCCACATTATGCCCCAAAGGCACAACAGGAAATTGAAATTTGGCATCAGGCCAGCTTTAAAGCTTTCATCATTTTAATCTTGAAAGATTATGATTCCAGCTTTAAGAAGCTTATGTGATTTATCTTCATAGGCCAAACCAAAAAGTCCGCAGTCATTTGGAAATAGGCCCTGCCATTGTGTTCAGTGACATCTTATATTGTCAGGAAGTGATCAAGTATGCAATTATTTTGTGTAATCCTTGCATTCCTGTTAGTATAAGCTAGAGAAAAGAAAAAAAAATTGATGATCATGTTCCTTAGTGTGAAACTGCACAAAATGCTGTCCCATTGCTGATCCCTTCTTTCCACTAAGAAATAATTATGCCACTGCGGTAGCTACAACTAAGGTACAACGAGAAAATAATTTTCTTGAAATGAACAGGAAGCTTGAGATGGAAACACATTTTCATTACTTTTCCATTTTACTTCACCAGGATTCAATTTTTCCTTGAAATAGTATCTACTTATAAAACTAACATAAAGACACAACTACTGCTAAGATATTCATTTATAGATATTGGGAAAAAGAGTGAAACTAGTTTCACTGTCCCTGTTTTGTTAGTGGCTGTAGTGACCATTAATTTTGTCCCTCTTGCTAACTGACCTTGACCAGCTAATAAAAAATTTCAGCATTTGAAAGAAAAAAAGCACATTTCTTCATTTCTTCTTTTGTATTCAATTATATTTCACTTGTATGCTTGGTATTTTTCTAAAAAGCCAAATCAAGAAAAATTCAGTAGGACTGTATCATCTAAACAAAGATTAAAAATTTTAGCACCCAAATACATGATGTAATTTACATTTGATTATTGCTTATATCATATCCCAGCTGAAATACTAAGAGATTTCTAGTCTTTAAGTCTTTTGCATGGCAAAGACAGAGAGTAGATTCTTGATAATTTCCAATCCTGCAGCCTCCTTGGTTAAGGACATAGAGGGTATATTAGTCAGAGTTCTCCAAATAACCAAAAAAAAAAAAAAAAAATGAATGAGACATGAAAGTAGAGAAAGATTTTAAGGAATTGGTTCACACAATTGTAGGGGCTAGCAAGTCCAAAGTCTGCAAGGCAGGCCAGCACTCTGGACACCCAGGAAAGAATTGATGTTGCAATCTGAAAGCACAATTTCTCTTCCTCAGGGGCCTCAGTCTTTTCTCCCAAGGCCTTCAACTGATTGGATGAAGCTCACTCCCATTACAGAGGGACATCTGCTTTGCTCAAAATCTACTGATTTAAATTTTGAAAAGATTTTCACAGAGACATGTAGACTGGTGTTTGACCAAATATGTACATACCATGGCATAGCCAAGATAACACAAAATTAACCATCACAGGAGGCCTTGGAAGACTTCACAATATCAGCAGAAATTATGTACATGGCATATAGGTGCTGTATTAGTCCGTTTTCATGCTGCTGATAAAGACATACCTAAGAATGAGCAATTTACAAAAGAAAAAGTTTCAATTGACATAGTTCCACATGGCTGGGGAAGCCTCACAATCATGGCAGAAAGCAAGGAGGAGCAAATCACATCTTGCATGGATGGCAGCAGGCAAAGAGAGAATGTATGAGCAGAGGAAATGCCAGATGCTTATAAAATGATCAGATCTTGTGAGAACTCACTATCAAGAAAACAGTATAGGAAAACCACCCCCATGAATCAATTATCTCCACCTGGCCCCACACTTGACACGTGGGGATTATTACAATTCAAGGTGAGATTTGGGTGGGGACACAGAGCCAAATCATATCATTCTACTCCTGGCCCCTCCCAAATCTCATATCTTCACATTTCAAAACCAATCATGCCTTCCCTACAGTCCCCCAAAGTCTTAACTCATTCCAGCATTAATCAAAAAGTCCAAAGTCTCATCTGAGACAAGGCCTGTACAATCAAAAGCAAGCTAGTTACTTCCTGGATACAATGTGAGTACAGGTATTTGGTAAATACAGCCATTCCAAATGGGAGAAATTTGCCAAAACAAAGGATCTACAGGGCCCATGCAAGTCTGAAATCCAGCAGGGCAGTCAAATTGTAAAGCTCCAAAATGATACCGTTTGACTCCAGGTCTCACATCCAGGTCATGCTGATGCAAGAGGTGGGTTTCCATGGTCTTAGGCAGCTCCATCCCTATGGCTGTGCAGGGTACAGCCTCCCTCCTGGCTGCTTTCACAGGCTGGTGTTGAGTGTCTGTGGCTCTTCCAGGTGCATGGGGCAAGCTGTGGGTGGATCTACCGTTCTAGGGTCTAGAGGAAAGTGGCCCTCTTCTCACAGCTCCACTGAGTGGCACTCCAGTAGGGACTCTAGGCAGAGTAGGCGGAGGTTTCTAAACCTGAATTCTTGACTTCTTTGCACCACAGGCTCAACACCAGGTGGAAGCTTCCAAGGCTTGGAACTTGCACCCTCTGAAGCCATGGCCCAAGCTTTACCTTGGCCGCATTTAGTCATGGCTGGAGCAGCTGAGATGCAAGACACCAAGTCCCTAGACTGCGCACAAAACAGGGAACCTGGTCCTGGCCCACAAAACCATTTTTCTTCCTAGGCCTATAGGCCTGTGATGGGAGGGGCTGCTGTGAAGACTTCTGACATGTCCCGGAGACATTTTCCCCATTGTCTTGGGGATTAACATTCGGCTCCTTGTTTCTTATGCAAATTTCTGCAGTCAGTTTGAATTGCTTCTTAGGAAATTGGATTTTCTTTTCTATCACATTTTCAGGCTGCAAATTTTCTGAAATTTTATGCCCTGCTTCCTTTATAAAACTGAATGCCTTGAACAGCACCCAAGTCACATCTTGAATGCTTTGTTGCTTGGAAATTTCTTCTGTCAGATACCCTATATCATCTCTCTCAAGTTCAAAGTTCTACAAACCTCTAGGGCAGGGGAAAAATGCCACCAGGCTCTTTGCTGAAACATAACAAGAGTCACCTTTGTTCCAGTTCCCAACAAGCCCCTCATCTCCATCTGAGACCACCTCAGCCTGGACCTTATTGTTCATATCACTATCAGCATTTTTGTCAAAGCTGTTCAGCAAGTCTCCAGGAAGTTTCAAACTTTCCCACATTTTTCTGTCTTCTTCTGAGCCCTCCAAACTGTTCCACTCTCTGCCTGTTACCCAGTTCCAAAGTTGCTTCCACATTTTTGGTTGTCTTTTTGTCAATGCCCTACTCTACAGATACCAATTTACTGTATTAGTCCATTTTCATGCTGCTGATAAGGACATACCTGAGATGGGGCAATTTACAAAAGAAAGAGGTTTAATCTACTTACATTTCCAAATGGCTGGGGAAGCCTCACAATTGGTGGAAGGCAAAAAGGAGCAAGTCACATCTTACATGGATGGCAGCAGGCAAAGAGAGAATGTACAAGCAGGGGAAATGCCAGATGCTTATGAAACCATCAGATCTTGTATATCTCACTATCACAAGAACAGTAAGGGGGAAACTGCCTCCATGATTCAATTATCTCCACCTGGCCCCACCCTTGACACATGGAGATTATTACAATTCAAGGAGAGATTTGGGTGGGGACACAGAGCCAAACCATATCGGGTGCCATAAACAAGAGTAGACTCTTTAATTAGATGTGTAGAGGAACAACAACAAAAAAAGCTAATGACTTTTAGTTAACCATTTAAGTAGTATTAACTAGACTAGTAGATTATAAAATGTGGTCCCCAGACTAGAAACATCACCATCATGGGACCTTGTCTCAGACTTCTTTGAGACCAGATTTTTGAAACAAAAATCTGGGGGTGGGGCCCAGCAATGTGGGTTTTGACAAGCCCACTGGGGAATTCCAATGCTCACTAAAGTTTAACAGCCAATGAATTGGACCCTTGCATCACTACAGAATTCACACATTTCTATTTGTCTAGGGGAAAAGTTTTTCTATTGCTAGTTGGTTAATGCACCTAAAAAGTATTTTTCACTCACCAACAATCATTTACCAAGTATCCACTATGTGCAGCATCTATGTGATTATTAATTCTTCTGAACTAATAAGGAGGTGACCAGCAAAGAGAAGTGAGGCTGCCTAGGTAGGTTGGGGCCAGTTTGTGACAGGTTTTGTTGTGTTTTTTTTTTCCTTTTTTTTTGACACATTGAGGTTTGTTTAGACACTGATGGCTTAAATTTGTAAAAGAAAAACTTCAATTATCAAAAAAATAACTCTAAAAGCAACATGAAGAAATAGGATATCTAGGAAGTGACAGAACTGCCCATTAGAAGAGCAGTTGGGAAACAAAATAAAATAGTCCAGACAAGAAAGAAGTGAAAAGGAGTGGAAGAGAGAAAGAGAATTTCAGAAATAGAATTAATGGGAATAAGTGATCAAATGGATACAAGACATGAGTGGAGACATGTATGTATACACACACACATGCACACACATACATGCACATTTCATGAAAGAGAAAGGCCAGATTTAAAGCAGAAAATACTTCAGACATGAATACAGAAAAGTTGGAAATGAAAGACATCTCAGAATAAGTAATAGATATGGGACTTTTTAGTATAGAGGCCATAGCTAAAGCCATGAGAGCAGATGAAATTGCAGTTTGGAGTACTTAAACCATGATTTTTCCAGCCTAAGTACTAGTAAGAGGAGGAGAGGCTATGATTTTCATCAGTTGTATAGTTGTTAAAACATAGTCAATACAACTAATGCAAACTAAAAAAGTAAAATTTGACATGATCTTAGCTGAAGAGGTAGGCAGATATTGAGGGCTGCTGCATTGGATAAGGCACACATGAAAGGAGACTCATACATTCCCGAAGTAAAAATGAGCAAATCGGGAGGATCTAGGCAGAATTCTACAGACGTCCAACCATTCCAGGAAAGGCAGGGGAAGAGGAGCCAATAAAGAAGGCTTAAGGGAAGCTGAAAAAGAAAGAGAGGAGATGCAGAACGCAGCAATGGTAAGAAAACCAAGACAGGAGAGCACTTGAAATGGAGGGAGTGCTAAGGAAGCCCCATGTCCTGACGAGAACTGCAAAGCACCAAATGCAGATGGATAACAGCAAGCCCCAGGTGCCCAGAGTAGAAATGGTCTCAAGAGTATGGGGGAGGGGAAATTCATCTTAGAGCCATCCAGTGTCTCCCATTCTCACTTCCCCTCCCTGCACAAGGAGGAAAGTGGACTCAAAGATACCACTCCTTGAGCTCCAAAATTCCAGGGCAGAGATTCCCTGAAATTAGAAATGAGCAAGTTTTAGGTGGGGCTCAGTTGGCATTTTTAGTAAGAGCCCATATAACACCAATTTGATTGTTCTGAAAAACACTCTAAGAAATACCATTATGCAGCTGCTATGAGCGAACACAGTTTCTATTAGCATCTCCTCTCTGACTTCCCATAATTTTTTGTGGGCTTCTCTCATGAGATTTATGACACATTGTTTTATGAACACATTGTAGAAGTCATCTCAGATTCCCTACTCCCCGCCTGTCACCTGGGGCTGTTCCTTCTCATGGAAGGACATGCTTGGTGTTGTCCCTCCCTCTCCTGGTGAGTGTCTGTCTCTGTGATGGTCTCCACTGCACCTTCTGTAAGTAGGTCCCTTTCCCATGGTGTCTTGACCATAGTAGGTGATTGAAGAAATAAGTGTAAAGAAATATGACATGACATAATTATTTTAAAGTTGAAATTCAAATGCCATCATGATTAGCCGTTTTAAGGTACCATTATTATTTTAAGAGTGATAATTACTAGAAGTTGCCTACAGAGCTGTTATACTCATTCATGAATGAAGCAGTCATTCTAAGTTAACTGTTAAGAATGATTCCTTTTACATTTTCTATTTTTCTACTTTTCTCATTAACATACTGATAATTTCCATTTTTTCAACATATGATGCAATTTACAAAAATTATTTCCCTGGAAGAAGAATAATACCAAAACAAATGAAACCAGGCACAGTGGCCCATGCCTAAAATCCCAACTACTCTGGAGGTTGAGGCTGGAGGATCACTTAAGCCCAGGAGTTCAAGGTCAGCCTGGGAAACATAACAAGACATCTATACCCAAAATAACAAAAAATAAAACAAAATAAGCCTCTGGAAACTGAAAAAAAAGTTAACATTTTGTCTAATAATCAAGATTGTCTTTTGAGAGATATTTCAGCAAAAGTTTATAGGGACATATGGAATGATTTGAACATTCATGGTACCACTACATACATTCTCACCCTTATCAGGAGTCATTTCTATTTCATCATAAAAAGTGAACTACTTACTAATAGCCACAAAAGTAGCCATGGGAGTAAGAAGAGAATGGGAAGTATTACTAAAAATTACTAAAAATGTCTCAAGTTTTGATCAATAGTTTTTAAAGGATAAACTGAAAAAAAGATGTGCATGGCTTCTAAATATACTATGATCAGGAGACATGGATCAGGCAGTCTGAGAATGGGACAAAACAAAAAAAAATTTGGAGTATTCTGAAAAATCATTCCTGCTTAAATTCTACATCTAGCTGTAGATAAAGGAAGATAATTGTTCCAGGAGACAAGTGAGTTGGCTGCTTTTGAAATAGAAGGCGAGGAGAACCACAGGGAGGTAGATCATGGGGGAGAATGTAACATAATAATATCCAAGTAACGTTACCAAAAGCAGAAATGCCTAAAGAAATAAGTCCTCAACAAGAACAAAAACCTTCAGAATCCAATTTTCAATTCAAACTCTTTTTGACTGCTTTGATTTTTAAATTTCCATTTAACAAGAATCTCATGTAAAGTAAACAAAAAGGGAATATTTTTAAAGAAGCAAGGTATATTATGCTTTTCGGAATTCTGTAATATCAGTTTAATTGGGCCTTTGGTATACGGACCAGGGTGTATATGTCTATATCTACACAGACTGTCCCCAGCTTATGATGGTTTAACTCAAGCTCATCCAACCTGCAGCCCATAGGCTGCATGAAGCCCAGGACGGCTTCGAATGTGGCCCAACATAAATTGGGCCTTCTTAAAACGTTACAAGATGTTTTCGAGCTTTCTTTTTTTTTTTTTTTTTTTTTTTTTTTTTTTTAGCTTATCAGCTATTGTTAGCGTTAGAGTATTTTATGTGTGGCCCAAGACAATTCTTCTTTCAATGTGGCCCAGGGAAGCCAAAAGATTTGACACCCCTGATTTAACTTAACAATTTTTCAACTTTATGATGGTGCAAAAGCAATACACATTCAGTATAAACTGCACTTCGACTACTCATGCAACCATTCCGTTTTTCATATTCAGTACAGTATTCAATACATCACATGAGCTATTCCACACTTTATTATAAAATAGACTCTCTATTAGATGATTTTGCCCAACTGTAGGCTAATGTTAATGTCCTGAGCACGTGTAAGGTCAGCCCATTTAAACTATAATGTTCACTGGCTACATGTATTCAATACATTTTCAATTCACAATATTTTGAACTTGACAATAGATTTATCAGGACATAACCCCATTGTAAGAAGAGGAGCATCTGTATGTCTATAAATAGATAATATATGTATATGGATATAGACACCTATATTTAAATATATACAGGCAATCTGTATATGAAATTGATAGATATAAGATATTCATGCACACATAATCACCTGCCAGATTATAGCAATACCAATTTGAAATTTTAGGTACTACTTGTTTAACTGGGAAGCAATTTTCTAACCTACACAAACGAGAAAACACTAAATGAAAAGTTAGATCTGCACAAAACCCAAGTTTATAATTATACTGTGATAAAGTCAATTTTAACCATTCAGTGATTTAAATGACTAATACAAAATGTCTCACAGCCTTTGTGATCAAGCTACTGAAAATAAATCATTTTATTTACAGCTATCCTCCTTATCCAAATCAGTGCCAGAAATATTGTAGGAGATCAAGACATTACTGTAGAAAGAAAAGTTTTCAACCAGATAGAGGCATCCACTGGCAAAAAATGAATATGCTAACTATAAACAATTTTGAACTATTTATTCAAACAAGAACCGCTGTATGCCCTGCCTTTAAGTCTCTAAGTCACTTAAGAGTCAGGCTATACCTGTAAGTAGTTTGACAAATTTTTTTTGTTTTTCTAAATTTTTTAATATAGATTCTCTTTCCTTCCTCAAGGCACCCCAAATTAATGAGGTCCTGCAATTATTCATACTGCAAATATATGACGACATTCTGTTTATACTATTGTCATGGAGTAAATGATGGCATAAGCATCAATATATTTTATTATTCTAATGTGTGATTACTCAAACATTTATGTCAGAGACACACTCAACAGAATGAAAGAAAAATGTGATGACTGCTGACTTGCATGAAATATTCTGTATTAAATTATCCCATGGGGGTAGCCTACACAGCAGCTAAGAAATCCTTGAATTATTAAGGAAACAGTTATTTCTTTCATGATTTCTCAAGAATTTGGGTTTCTACATTTTAATAACCTTCGAAAGTGATTTTTTTAATTTAATGGAAATCTGAGTATAGTCTTAGAATCCTAAAAGGATGTGTGTGTATATATATATACACACACACACATATACATTAAAGGAAAAACAGTATATTCAATGATAAGATTCGCATTTAGATTAAACTGTCAATTTTAATTGTGTCTTTGCAGGACAATGAAAGTTTTTTTTTAATGTTCGTTTACACTATCAATAGCACAAAACCTTCCTGATTTTCTTCGGTCTTACATTCAGTTAAAAAAATATGATTTTTATATTGTAATTTTTGCAATAAAGATATTTTTCTACAATGTAGAAATCTGTCTATAGCAGCACTCTTCAGCTAAATAAAAATAGCTATTGTTTCTACTGCAAAACCCACATAATACAACGCGTTTTCTGCATTTTCTGAACCAAGTCTCTAATAAGAAACAAACATCTAAGATTACCATTAAACATAGATACGTTTTGAAAGAGACTAATCTTGCTTGAGTCAAATTAAATAGGGTTAGACATGAAGGTCCACGTGAATGGTCTACTTCCTGTTCTGTCTCAAGCAAAGTACCTGCCTAGTGCAGTTCTGAGTCTGCAGCTGTCCTCTTCCCCCGAGTCTGACTGATGAAGGAGTCTTTTGTTCTACCGATAAGTGATACATTGTGTATTGCTCAGGTGCCTTGAACAAAAAGTACAGGGCAACACAATGAGCTTCTCTACAGCCAGCTTTAAGAAGACGAAGAATAAAAGTAAAACTAGCTTTACCTGAGATGTGTACTTTTCAATGAAACTTTCCTTTCCCATTCTAAAGGAAAATATCATTTTGTGTGTTTATAAAAGCTTATTCTATAGTTTGTCCCTCACCCCCCACATCCCGATTCTGTGATAAAAGCAACAGGAACAGAGGTTCTCTTTTATTAAAATGGTTAATTTGGGTGAATTGCTGGCTTTTTGAAGGGGATTGTTGGAGTGACTTTATCTGAGCTAAGTTGCCTCACTTAATGTGTCTAAACAATCAGATATAGTCATTTAAATAACCATCGATTCTATTATTTATCAATGTAGAAGGAAGATATTTAAATCTTTTTTATATGTTCTTAAATTCACCTAATTTTTTCCTTTTTTCAACATATTTCTAAATGCAAAAATATAAATATATAAATAAATCATTTAATAATATTTTTAAAGCCTACAATTTTTTTTTTTTTTTTTTGAGTCAGAGTCACCTAGGCTGGAGTGCAATGGCGTGATCTCGGCTCACTGTAACCTCCACCTCCCGGGTTCAGATGATTCTCCTGCCTCAGCCTCCCAAGTAGCGGGGACTATAGGCGCCTGCCACCACGCCCAGCTGTTTTTTGTATTTTTAGTAGAGACGGGGTTTCACCATGTTGGCCAGGCTGGTCTCAAACTCCTGACCTCATGATCTGCCTGCCTCGGCCTCCCAAAATGCTCGGATTACAGGCGAGAGCCACCGTGCCCGGCCAAGAATGTTTTTAAAATTAATGTAGGATATATAATTTACTTGGTGAAGTCATGTTTTTTATTTAAATAAAATATTTGCATTTTTCTAGAGATATTCTTAAATCACAATGTAAAAAAGCATTCAATAAAATATTTGTATTTTTCTAGAGACATTCTGAAACTACAAAGTAAAATAGCATTCAATAAAATATTTGTATTTTTCTGGAGATATTCTGAAACCACAATATAAAAAAGCATTCAATAAAATATTGTATTTTTTAGAGATATTCTCAAACCACAATATAAAAAAGCATTCAATAAAATATTTGTATTTTTCTAGAGATTCTGAAACCACAATGTATAAAAGCATTCAATAAAATATTTGTATTTTTCTAGCGACATTCTGAAACCACAATGTAAAAAAAAACATTCCTGGGGGCGGGGGGGACAGTAACATTTCTTTTTCAACTCTCCTTTGACCAGTAGAGCATGATGCCCATCAGGGACATTTTGGCTTGACCCAAATGGTGTGTGCAGATTCTAGCTACTATAAACCACACTGTTCTATGGCTTGACAAGTCCACTTCATCAAGAAAAAAAAAAATGCACTACATTATTGATGATTATCACAGCAATTGCATGGATTAGTGCCGTCACTGAGTTTTTCTCATCCATCTTCCACACCAGGTTATTACATTTATATGATTTACAAATCTGTGATTCTTAGAATCACTAAAATCAGTACAGAAAGTGTTCAATATAGCATTTCCATCTTTGGTAAGTTCACAAAATATTTGTTGGATAATGAATAAAAGGCTCTCCAACATTGTGACTTTATATGCTGTGTTTCCAATGGCTCCTTAAACCTTTTAGATGCACCACTGGCATTATTTGCTGTGTTATAAAATCTATTAAATGTTTACACACTTTTTTTTTTTTTGAGACAGAGTTTCACTCTTCTTGCCCAGGCTGAAGTGCAATGGCTCCATCTTGGCTTACTGCAACCTCCGTCTCCCGAGTTCAAGCGATTCTCCTGCCTCACCCTCCCTAGTAGCTGGGATTACAGGCGCCCACCACCAGGCCAAGCTAATTTTTTTGTATTTTTAGTAGAGACGGTTTCACCATGTTGGCCAGGCTGGTCTTGAATTCCTGACCTCAAGTAATCCGCCCGCCTCGGCCTCCCAAAGTGCTGGGATTACAGGCGTGAGCCACCGAGTCCAGCCAGTTTACATACATTTCAACACAGTATAAGTATGTATCAAATGTTTGTACACTTTATATGTAAATGCTTGGTGGGCAGAATTTATATGTTTTATTAACCTATAAATCACAAGAGCCTATAACAGAGCCTGGCAAACAGTGGTGCAATATTTGCTTAAGTAATTGATAATTAATTGGCAATGAGATGGTAAATACAGACCTTAAGGTTATGTAGAAGATTCTATAATTTCCACCTAGTCAAATACTGAATATTAATACTAATTTTGTTTATTATTTTATTCTTAATTCTACCCAAAATAAACTAAATATTTTTTATTTCTTTTACATGGGATTCCAAGTTCTACAATAAATTGGGATATCACAGAGAGGTGATGGTATCATTTTCTAGAATTTTCCTTCTAGAGACCCTCTGCATGAAAGAAACTAGAATTCTAAAATGTAAAACACTTTTATTATACCTTATGAACACAAATTTAAATAATCAGCATGTTAGTGGTTCAAGATATGAAATGAATACTGCCCTTTTCATTTCTGATAGCATTGAGAATGTTACAATCAAAAAGTTCTAAAAACTATGTACAACTATTATATATAAATAAGAGAAAAACTTCTAATCTTACTCAATGTTGCTTTAAGTTTGGGCAATAGAGAAAGAGAAACAAAGAAAAGCAATACTTCTTCATATGTTTACCATCACTTTTTACTGGGACCATCAAGGTCAAATGCTTGTCAATGTCTTAAATTTAGATAACAACAAGTTGAAATTTTCTTAGACGTGTTTATTTCTTTTGGTAATCCAAATGCCACAGTTGCCCTCTAGGGTCATTTTGAAGCTCTTAAGTGACCCTGGATGAACCATTCCTTTCAAATCCTTTTCTCAAGCCATACATTTGGTAAAAGAAAGCGTATTGCTTGATAAAATCCTACTGTAACTAAAGTAAAAGTCCAAAATCTATATAGATGACATTATCTGAAGTTTCTCTTTTGCAGTAAAAGCATTCCTTCCCAAATGTCCCAGCAACTTCTCAATGAACAAGGGCCTCAAAATTAATAGCTTAGCAATGGGTAGATAAGCAAACAAATGATTAATTGTATAGTATCTTGTATATTTTACATGATATGCATGTATGAAGGAAGAGAGAGAGAAAGAAAGAGAGAGTCTGAGGAAGAAAAGAAACATGGATTTTTCAAATTTTACAGATTTTTCTCCTGTGATTATATACACCAATAAAACTCACAGTTTGGTGGCTAAGAGGCTCATACCACTAAAAAAAGGAGTTAAACTGAAGAAAGCATTTTTAAACATCTTTGAGAACTTAACCACAACGTGAGGCAGATTCTGTTTCCTTTTCTATTGACCTTTGATTGTATCTTGGGATGGTAGACACACTGCTTTGTAGTACTTAGCTTCTATATCCCTGTATGTAAGAAACCAAACCATCCTAACCTGTGTTGTTTATCTAGGAAAGACACCTATTCAAACACAAAGAACAGTGTCCAACCTTTCCTCAAAAAGTTAGGGTGTAAAATCTGTAGTGTAAAAATAGGAGGTCACGAGTAACCCCTTAATGCCTCTGTTACTTCAATTTTCTGTTTTGTAAAATAAAGAAGATACTAAATAACTCACATGGTTTTGAGAATTCTCTGATATGCAGCATGAAAATATACTTTATAAATTCAGAGGTATTGCACAAATATTTTATACTCACACTATAATGGGACTTTATTAGTAGACAACTGTGAAATTTGTCAGCCAACCTTCCTTCAAGTACTCAACCAGAAACATTATACACTTATTTCAATAAAAAATCATCACTAAAAATGTTTTTTGAAAATATTCCTTTAAAATCCCTTCAGAGTCTGATCATAATTCTCATGAGAATAGTAGTCTTGTTAAATTGTAACAATAAGATGATTTTACCCGGATTAATCACTATATTTGTCTGTTCTCACTGGGACTGGGTAATTTATAAAGAAAGAAGGTTCAATTGACTCACAGTTCCATATAGCTGGGGAGGCCTTAGGAAACTTACAATCATGGCAGAAGGGGAAGGGGTCGCAAGGCACGTCTTACATGATGGGCAGGCAAGACAGAGAGTTGGGGGAGCGGGGAGATACAGCGCAAAGCGGAAAGTGCCAGACACTGAAACAACCAGATCTTGTGGGAAATTACTCACTATCATGAGAACAGCATGGGGGAAACCATCCCGATGAGCCAGTCACCTCCCAACAGGTCCCTCCCCAAAACATGTGAGGATTACAATTTGGATTACAACTGATGAGGTTTGTGGGGGGACACAGCCAAACTATATCGATCACCAACATTCATTCTCAAAATTTGAGACATTTCTAACATGTATATGTAAATTTAAGATAGTTTATTTTTAAAGAGAGAGCTTAAATGATGCTATAATTTATTTGAATATTGAGTTTGAGTTAGTTTTATTTACAAACAAATCATTTTTTAATATATTAAGTATTTTATAATTTTTCTCTCCACATAAAGAAGACCAGAAGCAATATGTTTAAATCAAAGTGTAACTTTTGCTTTTTAATTCGTTTCTATGTAGGAATCCTCTTAATAAGGACATTCATATTAATAATGGGGTGGTGATTTTTTTATCCATTCAATCTATCAGTTAATCAAGAAATATTTCTGAGTCCTTACAGGAAATACCAAGTCCTTACCCTAAAGATGCCCATTGTCTAATAGAAAAGATAATATAATGGTAGCAAAAGACTAGAAAAGAAATAGATGGAACAGAGCAGCATATTTTAGAGGGAGGTACGTTATAATAAGTGCTATTTATGAGCAGTTACATGGAAATCCTAACTGCAGTAGCTATTGAAAGAGCAGCTTTTGAAGAAGAGTTTGAGTAAACCTATGAATATTAGAGTGTTTATCTGTGATTTTCGATTCTAAGCTCTCCATCACATGCCTAACTCACAGATGCTGAAAAGACTTCAACACACTTTTATCCAGCTCAATGTTTGTTAGCCAATAAATAGACACTGACTGCTAGACACTGTCCTAGGAAGTGGAGATAGTTTTTGACAAAAACAGACGAAATCTTTTTCTGTGTAACCAATGACATAGCTGGACAAAGTAGACATTAAACAAACTGTTTCAAAATAATTAAATCATTTAAACTGTAAAGTACTGGAACAGTATACAAGACACTCTAGGAATATATAATATGGAGAAAAGATCAGATCTCAGTGTTTACCAATTTTTATTTGAGACAATGTAGATCATTTTGTTTTCAAAAAAATAACATTACAATAATGTAAATATTCTGCAAAACTATCATGAAACCTGCATTGTAATATTTTGAGTAAAACACTCATGTGCAGGATATCTATGAATTAATGTTTTATCATTGTCAATAGAGAAGTTAGACAGGTGTTTTGTTCAGTCCTTTAAATTTGTCCCTTTTCCCTAGTTCAAAGTCTGACAGGTAACTGGAAATTCTAAACAGTTCAGGGTTGTATGGGTTTTAACAAAACTGTTGTATTTTCTAAGTGCTTAACAAGTTATTCTTTGATCTCTGAAGGAGTTATGTCAGAGCAAGGTTAATCATTGAATTTCTATCTGGGTTCCACACTGAAAAATAACATAAATGGCTTAAAACTCAATTTATAAATTTCATTAATTTGAAATTGAACCAAAGAAAATATTTGTAAACTTTTGCCTCAAAATCATATCACAATGCTCTAGAAAATCATAAACTTCACTATAAAAGAAAATGTATGAGTTTCATTTTGATAAACAACAAAATTTACTTTGATCTGCACTAAAGAGAAAATCAAGATAAAATCTGTTAATGAAATAGAGAACTATGGGTTTTAAATTAAAGAGATTTTAAAAATAGAACAACTTAGAGCTGTCTCCAGAGTAAATGGAATGGTTGGGAGAAATTTGGTTAACACCACTACTTGGCAGCAAGAGCCTGTATTGGGAGAGTCTGTATTATGTGTGATTAAACACCAAATTTATGTTTCCATCAGTTTATAATACAAATGCTCTTTTAACAACTTGGCTAAGTATCAGATCACATATTTTTTTTTATTTATTTATTTTCTGAGACAGGGTCTCATTCTGTTGCCCAGCCTGGAATGCAGTGGCACCATCATGGCTCCCTGCAGCCTTGACCTCCCTGGCTAAGGCAATCCTCCTATCTCAGCCTCCATAGTAGCTGGGACCAAAAGCGCAAGCCACCATCGCTGGCTAATGTTTTGTAATATTTATTTATTTATTTATTTATTTTGGAGAAACAGGGTTTCACTATGTTTCTCAGGCTGGTCTCAAACTCTTGGGCTCAAGAAATCCACCAGCCTCAGCCTCCCAAAGTGCTGGGATTACAGGCATGCAACACCATCCCCAGCCTACAGATACTTATAACCATGTCTTCTTTCCTCTTCAAAAGCTTAAGAAATGAAGCATTTTTTCTTCTTTCCTTATTTCAGTTGTAGAAATAATATATGATTAATTCTCACTACGCATATAATAAAATACAGGAAGTTCTAGTATTATTCCAAATAGTATGAATGTGCTAGAGAGGCAATACTAGACTAAAAAAAACCCACAGGGGTAGGCTTTGAGAAAGAACAAAAGTGTAAAAGTGCCTAGGGACAGGAAGTCCCCAGAAACTTTAATCAAATATTCCCACCCAAAGGAGAAGTCCCTACCTGTGAGAAGACTCTTTTGAGATTGAACAGAGTATGATTATTATGAAAGGGTAGAGACAGTATGTCCAGAAAGTACCCAGAAGTGAGCAAAAAGTAAGTTCAGAAAATACAAGAGATAGCAGATGTACCTGCACTTGAAAGCTTCAGCAAAACCCAACTTCTAAAGGTGAGTCCAATATTTTGGAAATAAAGAATGTGAAGAGATCTGAAAAGCTCAGAGCTGGGGATAGAAACTCTTCTGTATTCATGTAAGGTCTGAAAGCCAGAGAAAAAGTGAGAACAGAGAGGGGCCATTTATTAAGACCTTTGCTGAAATAGAGAAGGGAGCACCAGGATATTCACTCTGACGCACTTTCATTTCACCCCCAAAATATCCACACTGCCAGAACCACCTGCTGCCAGGTGGGAAAATTCACCTTATTCAAATATAGATAGAATAAGAGGAACATATTCTGCCTCCATACGAAGATTTTGGGTAAGTATCCATTAGTTCAATTTTTTTCTGTATTACTCACATCTCCTGTATCCTTACCGATTTTTTATCTGATATTTTATTTATTGAGAGAGTTTTGTCAAACTCAGTAAGAAAGTGATGAAAAAGAATGGTGTAACTTTCCTGCAGATAATAAAAACTCACTGGAGAAAACATTTTCAAAAAGTTAATGAAAAAATGTAACAACATTCCGAACATAAACAGAAAAGAATGAAAGAAAAAAAACTTCATTTGCTTAAGAATAAAGATAATGGAACAGACATAAGAATTCTATTGAGTAAAATAAAAAACATTAACAGAAATAAAACGAATCCCAAATAAACAGAGATATGTACCTTGTTCATAGATGGGAAAACTCAGAGAGGCAAATTATCCCAAATGGATCTACAGATCCAATAAAATCCCAATAAAAATTTCAACAGATTTTTTTTGTGGAAATTGGCAGGTGGACTCTAAAATTTACATGGAAATACAAGTGGCCAAGAATAGCTAAGACCCTCTTGAAAAATCAACAAGGCTAAAGGACTTACACTGTCAGGTATCAAAATAAATTATGAAGCATTAATTATTAAAATAGTTATTATCGACTCAAAGGTAGATAAATAACCCAGTGGAACAGAATGAAGTCTTCAGAAGCAGTCCCAGACAAGCTATTTGTTAAGTTAACTTTGCAATTGAGTGGGGGAATAAATGGTCTTTTCAATAAATATGGCAGGTCAATTGTATAGGCATATAGAAAAAAATAATATTTACCCATAGGTCACTAAAATATGTTGCAAAAATGGCCACAAATCCCTCCCATTCCTCTATGCATACCCTTTTGTGGCATAATTTCGCCTTTTCTCATATCAGAAGTGAAGTCTATTTATCCTCTTAAATCTAGGCAGGGATACGTGACTTCTTTAGCCAAAGGGACAATATGAAATGTGACATACGCAGGGCTGTGAAAAGCGCTCATGCATTAGGACTTGCCCTCTTGTTGCTGGAAACCCTGAGACCATCATCTGATGATCCTGGACCAGCCTATTGACATAGCATGAGAGACCATGTGGGAGAGATGCCAGCCAACCCAGCCATCCCAGCCACTCGCAGAATTGTGAGCTAAATGAAATAGCTGTTTTAAGCTACTATGTTTTGGGGTGGTTTGTTCCACAGTAAAAGCTAATTGCTGCAGTTCTACCACAAAAATTCCAGATGGATTGTAGATCTAAACGTGAACAGTAAATGACAAAAGCTTCTACAACAGTGCTGTCCAATAGAAATGTTCCCTATTTGCAATGCCCAGTAGGGTTGCCACCAAGCCACTTGTAACTACTGAGTACTGAAAACATGACTAGCACAAATGAGGAAATGAATTTTCAATTTATTGTAATTTATATTTAAGCTTAAATAGCTACACTAGGCTACTGGGTACAGTATTGAACAGTGCAGTTCTAGAAAATAACACAAGAAAATTATTCAGGAACTTTGGATTAAAAAATATATAAACAGGGGAAGAAGTACTGATCATATTGGAAAACAATGATTAACTAACCCACATAAAAACTAAAGATTTTTGTTTGTCAATAGACATCATTAAGTATTTGAAGAGATAAACGATAATTTGGAAAAATAAAATTAAAACATATTTCTGACAAAGGAGTCATATCCAGAATACATTAGGAATTCCCAAAAAATAAATTAAATAAGTACACCTAAAAACCCAGCAATTCTATTCCTAGGTAAATAGATATGTGTACATTATGTACATCAAAAGACATGTCTAAGAATATTCACAGCAGCAGTATTTTTAAGTAGCTACAACTAGAATAACCCAAATATTCACCAACAGTAGAATAAAATAGAATATTTGCAAAATAAAATATGAAAGAGTATATTACATGGTATACATATATATGGTTACATAAAAATGGATGAAATCTCACAACATTGAGCAAAAGAAGTCACGTGTATTTGTTTACCTATTTTATTTTTCCATTTGTATGAAGTTTAAAAACTTTGGACATAATCATTAAATTTAGTTGTGAAAGATGGCTCAATATTAAGAGATTCAGTAAGTTATCTTAATAAAGTTATTCTGTTCATGATCTAAAAAGAAAAACCTATAATCATCTCCATGGATATTGAAAAGTTATTTAATCAATTCAACTCTATTCTTAATTTTTAAAATATGTAATAAAAGTCATTCAGTAGGCACTTCCTTAATATGTGTGCTGGAAACCCTTTTTGGTTCCTTAATCCTGCCTACATTGTTATAAATGTTTTCTCTTCATTAAACTCTTGTTAGTTACTTAATTTCATTGTACTGTTTGTGGCAAAGATGTTACCTGGTACATGATTGTAGGTTAGAAAGCCCAAACACTAGCATCTTTCCTAACCAAGAGACACAAGAAGAACAAGACTAAGGATGGCCACTATCAACTCTCCTATTTAACTTTGTATTAAAAGTATTCAGCTAAACAACTGGGCAAGAGAAAAAAAGCTAGTGCTTAAAAGTAGCAAAGGAAATTCTGTTGTTCTATTGCACAGTAGGATAACTATAGTTAATAATAATGTATTGTGTATTTCCAAATAGCTAGAAGAGAGAATTTTGAATGCTCTCACCACAAAGAAATGATAAATTTGTGAGGTCATGAGTATGCTAACTACCCTGATTTGATCACTACATAATGTATTCATGTATAGAAACATCACCCTCTACCCCATAAATATGTACAATTATGTGTCAATTTAAAACAAAATACAACTTTTTAAAAACTGGAAAAGATAAAACTTTATTTGCAGATGATGGCACACTTGTAGAATAAAATGTGCAAGATTTTTCATTGTGGGCATTGTTTGTAGTAGAAAAAGTCTAGACATAATCCAAGTTCCCAAAAATATTGGACTGACTGAATAAAGTACTTCTACACCATGGAATATTAGACACTTGTAGAAACAGAATGCAGAAGGTGTGCGTGTACTAAAATAACTAGATCTCTCTATGATATGCTAATGACAGAAAAAAGCAAAGTCAAGAACAAAACAGGTAATAAAGAGGGAAAATAAGCCACGTGGAACTGTGAGTCCATTAAACCTATTTTTCTTTCCAGTCTTGGGTATGTCTTTTTTTTTTTTTTTTTTTACTGTACTTTAAGTTTTAGGGTACATGTGCACATTGTGCAGGTTAGTTACATATGTATACATGTGCCATGCTGGTGTGCTGCACCCACTAACTCGTCATCTAGCATTAGGTATATCTCCCGATGCTATCCCTCCCCCCTCCCCCCACCCCACAACAGTCCCCAGAGTGTGATATTCCCCTTCCTGTGTCCATGTGATCTCATTGTTCAATTCCCACCTATGAGTGAGAATATGCGGTGTTTGGTTTTTTGTTCTTGCGATAGTTTACTGAGAATGATGCTTTCCAATTTCATCCATGTCCCTACAAAGGACATGAACTCATCATTTTTTATGGCTGCACTGGGTATGTCTTTATCAGCAGCGTGAAAACGAAATAATGCAACTGTTTACGGCCAATCTCAATTCTCAGAAATAAAGATTATAGTCTGGTAACTATTGTTCCTGATCTTTTTCTAAGCACTCACATACAAACATGTTGTGTCACTTAGCTATTGCTGCAATAATGCTTCATAACAACCAACCTCAAAAATCAAAGGCTTTGGCCAGGCTCAGTGGCTCATGCCTGTAATCCCAGCACTTTGGGAGGCCAAGGTGGGTGGATCACTTGAGGTCAGGAGTTCGTGACCAGCCTGGCCAACATGGTGAAACCCCATTTCTACTAAAAATGCAAAAATTAGCCAGGCGTGGTGATGGGTGCCTGCAGTCCCAGCTCCTCAGGAGGCTGAGGCAAGATAATAGCTTGAACCTGGGAGGCAGAGGTTGCAGTGAGCTGAGATTGTGCCATTGCACTCCAGCCTGGGTGACAGAGTGAGACTCCGTCTTAAAAAAAAAAAAAAATCAGAGGCTTAGAACATTCATTTTTATTGATCAAGATATTATGGGGCAGCTAAGGTAGCTGCACTTCAGGCTATAGATCAGTTTAGGTTCATTCTAACTGCTTTGCCTCTGGGACCATCAGCTACCAGGACTTGAATATTCTAATGGAAAACAGTCAAGTGAAAGAGGTCAGGCAAAACACACAAGGATATTTGAAGCTTCTGCTTACACTATACCCTCTAACATTCCATTTGGCAAGACAGGTTGTAAAGCCAGGCAAGACAAGGCAGGGAGCTATAGACACAAATAGTTATAGGAATGTATTAACCCATTCTCACTTTCCTGTAAAGAAATACCTGAGACTGCATAATTTATAAAGAAAAGAGCTTTAATTGGTTCACTGTTATGAAGCTTATACAGGAAGCATGGAGGCATCTGCTTCTAGAGAGGCCTCAGGGAGTTTTACTCATGGCAGAAGGCAAAGCAAGAGCAGGCGCTTCACATGGTGAAAGCAGGAGCAAGAGAGAGTAGAGGGAGGAGAGAAGGGGAAGGTGCTACACACTTTTGACTGACCAGATTTCGCAGTAACTCACTCGCTATCATGAGAAGAGTACCAAAGGGATGGTGCTAGACCATTCATGAGAATTCTGCCCCCATGATCCAATCACCTTCCGTATTAGTCCGTTTTCATGCTGCTGATAAAGACCTACCCAAGACTGGGTAATTTAGAAAGAAAAAGAGATTTAATGGACTCACAGTTCCATGTGGCTGGGGAGGCCTCACAATCATGGTGCAAGGCAAAAAGCACATCTTGCATTGCAGCAGACAAGAGACACAATGAGAAGCAAGTGAAAGGGGTTTTCCCTTATAAAACCATGAGATCTCATGAGATTTATTCATTACCAGTAGAACAGTATGGGGGAAACCACTTCCATGATTCAGTTATCTCCCACTGGGTCCCTCCCACAATACATGGGAATTATGGAAGCTACACGTAAAGACGAGATTTGGGAGAGGACACAGCCAAGCCATATCACCTCCCGCCAAGCCCCACCTCCAATACTGGGGATGACAATTGAACATGAAATTTGAGTGAGGATACAGATCCAAATTATATCAAAGAATTTATTGTACGATAGCATTTCACATCAAAAAGGATATGGATCTTCAATTCGAATACAGAGATTGAGTAAAGACTTGGTAAAAATAAACTGATTAATCATATATACATATGTATATACCAATATATAGTTTTGATTTGTTTGGATTATTTTAATATCAATTTACTAAGTATATCGCTTAGAAATTTGTTTTTCTCAAAACTTAGTGTTATGTCCTCAAAAGTTTTCCATGGCAATACATATCATTATAGCTAAATATTTTACCTGCTGGATAATTTCCAAATATGGCTATAATTTCCAATAGTTTATACATCCTTTCCTCCATTGATGGGCATCTAGTCTGTTTCCAGTTTTTCGCTATTGAGAACACTGATGCAATGAATATCTCTACATCTAAGTCTTCACCTACATTTGGAAATTAGCAGACATTTGCCGCTAAATGTGCACAACAGGAATAAGGAATAATCTGATATCCTCATTTTGAAAGAAGTTATCAGTACTCACAGTGTTCACATACAGGGTTACAGGGTTTAGAAATGAGAAAGTTTCCATTAAAGGAATGATTTCATGTTTATAAACATATTAAAATCATAGAACCATAGAAACAAGTTTAGATTGTTTCTCTTTTGCATTATTGCTTTTTGCCTTTATACACTTGCACCATTTCTACCACTAGATTTTGAGCTACTGTCTTTTATTTATCAAAGGAACTACCAGTCTAAGAAAATAAAGAAAAATGTGTTCTCCTAAAAATGAATCTTAATTTCACTCCCTTTACCCTGCACGATTTTTCCTTTGTTCTTTCTTTCACAGCACTTAGCACGTTCCCCCACACTACATAATTTACACATCTGTTATGTTTTGTATTCTCCAGCTTAAATGTTAATTCTACAAAAGCAGGAATTTTTAAAAATCTCTTTTCTTCACAATGTATATTCCAAGGACTTTAATAAGTGTACTTTACACTGATGAAAACCTTAAGACAAATTTCCAGGTGTGTGTGTGTGCATATATATATATGCACACATATATACATATTACGTATATAATATATACATATATAATACATACATTCTAAATATAGCCATCAAAACATTGTATCAGATCTACAAGTTGGGTGAAATATAATTTTTAAATGTAGCTTTCCCTTCTTCTTGCCTCTGGAATAAAAACAGATCGTTTCTTAAGGTCATTGTCAAGTAAACAAGGTTATTAATATATTCTAGAACATACTCCAGAATAGAATAATAGAATATATGCTTCACAGTTCATGAAAACCAAAAGAAAAAATATTCATAATGAATTAAAAAATATCTGCCTGCTAAAAAGAACCATTCAGCACACCTTGTCTACAGCATTAATAAAAGATGAACAATTCAATTTTTTTTCTTGAGTGGTATATCTGTGGTGGCAATTATTTTTCTTTCTAAAAAGAAAGGTACATCTGATGTAATAAGTCAAGTTTCAGGAATCACTCAGTTCTGTATATTATTTTAAAACTAAAGCAATTTTTAAAAAGAGCCTCCATGTCTCACAGGGAATATGTAATTACTTATCTTTCAGAGTTCACTTAAATTTCTACATTTGAACAGGAGAAATTTTAAAATAGCATTTATTTTTTGGAGAAATTGGCAGACAATTATCACAACAAATTTATCCGAGATCACTATATATATATATATATATATATAAAATATATATTATATATATAATATATATATTATATATATATATTCGTGGCATCATTTAAAAAACAATTACCATATAGTGAATGAAAAAGGTTGTCTTCACTGACTCCAGAACCAAAGTATTTTATAACAGATTCCTTATATTTTTATTTTAAATAAATGTTAAAATCTTTTTAAAGAAGTTTTTGTGGGTTTCATAGGATTCTTTTTTCAGATAAAATGGGGCACAATAAGGTCATAAAGTCAAGATTCGTGTCTAAAAGCAAACTGTTGGTAAGAACTTCCACCAAGACTCTCCTAGTTTCTCTTTTCTTCACATTAACTTTAAAAAATCTTGTTATTTTCCAAGTCCTTTAGGTAAAGGACTCAAAAATAAACCCAAGATCCCATGATGTCAATGATTGGAGAGAACCACAAATTCAGTAGAATTACTTTTCAACCAAGACAGATACTTCTTAACTTACAAGTCACATATTTGAAAATATCTCTATTAAACATTAGAGTTGACATCTGAAAATCTTTTATAAGGGAAGTAATTTTAAACATAAGCCACTTAAAATACTCTATCACTCTCTGATAAGAGGGATCTTTAATATAATAATGATTAAAGAAGGTTCTTAATAGAACACTTCCAGGATAAATTTTGTTTAATATAATTATTCCCAATTCCCATATTGTCAAAAACAATTCTTTGGAAGAGGTACTCAAGTTAGTTATAAATTTTTTTAAATGTGTACCAAATAATAAAGAAATACTGCTTTCAAGCAGCAAAATCTGGACAGAATCCTAGTAACTGAGATGTCACCCAGTATTACTCAGAGTAAATTGTTTATTAAGACAAAATAGTATGTATTTTTTTATCTGAATTGATTCCTCAACTGAAAAATCTAAGTCCAGGAGAAAATTCCTATAAAATCTATTTGCTTTCCATAGTTAGGCAATGATCCTAGAAATATACATATACAGATATATGTATATCTGCAGATACACACACACGCACACACACACACACAGACATACACACACACACACATTAAAAACCCTCTCCTTCACATCGAAGGGCTCTGACCTAATTTCTGGGCACCGTGCCACATTTCTAGTCATTCAAATAGATGAGTCAGTACTCCCTGGGCCTCACTCTGGCTAGATCCACTCAGAGACCAAAACCTCTTCATCTCCTGGCAGACATTCTCAATGATGTTCTCATTTCATTTAAAAGCAAGATTCCTTCGATCCGCCTGTGAGGACTAAGGAAGAAAGCATTCTCACTCCATTTAATCATTTTACGCCACCACAGACTACCCAGCAGGGGACTCACGGCCCACTCTCTGTACTTTCAGGTAACTACCCTCGTTCACAGGTCAATAGTTGCTCTCTTCCTTCAGAAATAAAAATATTTACCTCCCACATAAAAGAGTAGTCATTCGACAAGTAGATTTTGCTTTTCATTACATAGGAAATAGGTGAAAAAACTTATAAAAGGACAGTATCTGCTGTTAACCTTTCTGCCCCTATTCAACTCCTGCTTTTCCTTGAAAACCTTAATTTCCAGAATAATCTAGGATCTCTTTTTTGGATAACAAAAGGAAGATTGGCAAACCACATAAGAATCACTTAAGGAGCAATGAGAAATAGCTAATGACTGAGCAAAAATTATTCAATCCTGATTCTCAGGTAGCAATTTTCCAGCAAGATACCGAAAATGTGTCAACTTGTATTCACATGGGTTACCAAATGCCTGTGACATCCCAAGTACTATATTAGACTCTTCTTTCAGGATCTCAAACAAAAACTCTGTGATGCGAATATTATTATCCTCTATTCAGATGAGAAAAGTGAGGTTGGAAAATGTGAAGAAACTTACCCAGTATCACACACAGAGTAAAGAACTTGTACACTCTTCTTAGCCTGGCCCATCTGATCACAAAGCTAGTACTCCTGCTACACAATGATATTTCCTCCCATACTTCTCTCTCAAGTCCTGCATATCCTTTAAAATTCAGTTCAAATTCCATCTCTTAAGACATTCCCCAAAAATGTTCTCAATCATAAGTGAACTTCCCCAGCCACGTATACCCATAGCACATCGACTGGTTTCCTCAGCCGTCATTTACCCGCAAGATATCAGAGTGAGTTTTGTGTGTTTCCACCTTACCACAAGAATAAGTCATTGGAGAGCAGGCTCTAAATCTCTTCTTTGCCCAAGAACACAAAGGTTCAGTGTTGAATTAAGGTGAATTATCACTTCCAACAAATCAACAACCTGATAGCTGCCTGTCTTCATTATGAGCATTTAAGCCCATCTCGCAAATGCATGGGATGCTGGTAGACATAGCAATCCCCTGCAACCTCACACATTTTCATCTTTGACAGTGAATTATGAAAATGTCAAAAATGTGGAACACACATTTCTAAACTCTAGAAACACTCCAAATTAGTATGTCCTTGTATTAGTCAGGGTTCTCTTAAAGGGACAGACCTAATAGGACATATATATACATATATATATATATATACACACACATATGTATATATATGTATAGGGAATATATATGTATGTATATATATGTATATATATACATGTATATGTGTGTGTGTATATATATATGTATAGGGAAGTTTATTAAGTATTAACTTACATGACCACAAGGTCCCACAGTAGGCTGTCTGCAAGCTGAAGGAGCAAGGAGAGCCAGTCTGAGTCCCAAAACTGAAGAAGATGGAGTCCAATGATGAGGGCAGGAAGCATCCAGCACAGGAGAAAGATGTGGGCTGGGAGGCTAGGCCTGTGTCTCCTTTTCACGTTTTTCTGCTGCTTTATATTCGCTGGAAGTTGATTAGATTGTGCCCACCAGATTAAGGGTGGATCCGCCTTCCCCAGCCCAGGGACTCAAATGTTAATCTCTTTTGCCAACACCCTCACAGACACAGCCAGGATGAATACTTTGTAGCTCTCAATCCAATCAAGTTGACACACAGTATTAACCATCACAGTCCTTAAAGTCTAAAACTCACTTAATGAAACACTCAAACAAATTTAAGAATTCAAGAACTGCAATCTCACATAATAACAAAGTGTATTGTCCTTGACTTTGTCCATTGATTCTGAAGAAAGGCTCTGGTCTTGTCTTCTGCTCTAGGAAGTTTATTGCCATTTCAAAACTTCATTTAAATTGAAAATAGATTAGTTCCATGTCAAAAAGCAGTGTCTACAAACTTGCTTCATGTCAACCTGTCTAAAGAGATGGAAACTTGAAAAGAGTATATTCAATTTAGAAGAGATCTTTAAGGGAATCTAATTTAGGCAATTTGCCTTTTTAACTTTATATTTATATAGAGTTAACATATATATATAACATATATATGTTATATATAAAGTTAACATATATAGTTAACATATATAACATATATAGTTATATAATGTTGAGCACAGAATCTTACTACGACCAGAATGCCTATTCTTCACTCCAATTCATTGAAAGAGAACATAGATGACTTTAAAGAAACATTATTGTTTTATATTTAAATGACCACATTACATGTATAATCTGGTAGTAAATCCATGACTTTTTGGAATCAAATGCCCTGAGTTCCAATTTCAGTTTTTCTGCCTACTATCAGAGATACCTTGAAAAAAGTACTTGACCTCAATATGCCTCTGTCTCATCTGCAAAATGGAAATAATAATGAAACCTACTGGATATGATTGCTGTGAGAATTAAATGAGATGATCCATGTGAAGGACCTAGAAGAGAAACTGGGACATGGCAGAAGGGGCCAGAACTACAAGTGTCTACACTTCTCTGGGCCACATGGCACAGGCCCTACTTAGAAATCCCTGCAGGACTTTGAATGTGGTGATGCTAAACTTTGCACAGAGATTCTGCAAAAGGCCTGAATAGGGCTGCCTTACTAGTAGACATCTGTAGTGATGGAGGGGGTTTCATCTAAAACTGTATGTTCTAGTGCCTATTGTATCATTTTTATTCCTTGGGATCTTGGAGATTTCTTTCCTTGAATAATCTCTATCAACGTATGTTTCCAAAAAGTTTTCTGGAAGGAGTTAAGTCTTAACTCACTGTCTGTTCATATCTTAATTATCAGTTCATAGCTGAACAGACATTAGTAAAAAGCCATCTGGAAGTACAAATGGCAATCAGGATAGAGTATTTCCTGAGCAAAACATAGACAGTGTGATGAGTTATACAGTAAACTGAGAATCAAAGAGATATCAAAAGAATATTGATAAGTAGTAAAGAGAGTCATTGACGAACTACCTTCTGCACATGCTGCATATCGTATAAAACAAAAGCGGTTAGAGTGGGGAGGGAGCTGTTGATCTGTACTTGCCAGAAAGATGTTGCTAAGAATTAAAGAGAA
The DNA here is from genome assembly GCF_000001405.40 of Homo sapiens. Classification (NCBI taxonomy): domain Eukaryota; kingdom Metazoa; phylum Chordata; class Mammalia; order Primates; family Hominidae; genus Homo; species Homo sapiens. The sequence goes on from NC_000008.11 coordinate 16,829,459, forward strand.
AAGTAGCTGACACACTTTATTTATTTATTTATTTATTTATTTATTTACTTATTTATTTAGACATGGAGTCTGGCTCTGTCGCCCAGGCTGGAGTGCAATGGCATGATCTCAGCTCACTGCAACCTCCATCTCCCAGGTTCAAGCGATTCTCCTGCCTCAGCCTCCCAAGTAGTTGGGATTACAGTCGCCCACCACCGCGCCTGGCTACTTTTTTTGTATTTTTAGTAGAGACAGGGTTTCCCCATGTTGGCCAGGCTGGTTTTGAACTCCTGACCTCAAGTGACCCGTCCTCCTTGGCCTCCCAAAGTGCTGGGACTACAGGCGTGAGCGACAGTGCCCGG